>NC_000013.11:75680833-75832348 GCF_000001405.40 Homo sapiens
TCTCGTCATAGTCTTTACTTTTTAATAATTGCCATTTTGACTGGTATCTCATTGTGGTTTTGATTCGCATTTCGCTAATCATCAGTGAGTTGAGCTTTTTTCCTATGTTCATTGGCTGCATAAATGTCTTTTTTCGAGAAGTGTCTGTTCATGTCCTTTGCCCACTTTTTAATGAGGTTTTTTTTTTGTTGTAAATTTGTTTAAATTCCTTATAGATTCTGAATATTAGACCTTTGTCAGATGGATAATTGCAGAACTTTTCTCCCATTCTGTAGGTTGTCTGTTCACTCTGATGATAGCTTCTTTTGCTGTGCAGAAGCGCTTTAGTTTAATTAGATCCCATTTGCCAATTCTTACTTTTGTTGCAATTGCTTTCGATGTTTTTGCCATGAAATCTTTGCCCATGTCTATGTCCTGAATGGTATTGCCTAGATTTTCTTCTAGGATTTTTATAGTTTTGTGTTTTACATTTAAGTCTTTAATCCATCTTGAGTTATTAATGCTCAGCAAAGTTTATGAGCTACTATCCTAAACTTCTGGTAATATCAGTTCAGATAATAGCAACATTTCTGGTAGCCATTTCATACTATCAACTCATCCTTTTAAATTGAAATATGATTTACAGTAAAATTTATCCTTTTTAGTATACTGAGTTCTGACAAATGCATACAATTATGTAACTGTCAGTCCAACAGAATACAGCACTGTCCCATTACCCTCCCCCACCAAGTTTCTTTGTGCACCCTTTTGTAGTCAACTCTTCTCACTCTGTCGTCTTCCCTCTGCCCTGGCAACCCCTGATCTGCTTTTAGTCCTTATAGGTAACTGTAGTTTTGTCTTTTGGGGAATGTCATGTATGTATGTATGTATGTGTATATATATATGTATATATATATATATATATATATATATATATGGAATCTTATTATTTGTAGCCTTTTGAGTCTGGCTTCTTTCACTTAGCATAATGTATTTGAGACATATCCGTACTGTTGTTTCTATCATCAGTAAATCATATCTTTTTATAGCTGAGTAGTATTCCTTGCATGGATGTACCACAGTTTGTTAATCCATTTGAAGGAGATTTGGGTTGTTTCCAGTTTTTTGGAATTTTGAAGCTGTTATGAGCATTCATCCTACGGTTTTTATTTATCTGAGTAAATACTGAAGAGTGGGATTGATGGGGCATATGGAAAGTATATGCTAAAGTTTACAAGAAATAGATGAACTGCTTTCCACATTGGCCACAATGTTCTGCATTCCTACCAACAATGTATGAGAGTTCTATTCTTCTACACCCTTGTCAGCACTTGCTATTTTGAGTTCTTAAAATTTTAGCCATTCTTAAAGGTAGTACTAATATGTTTGTAGGTATGCAGTAGTGGTTTTAATCTGCATTTACCTAATGACTTAATTGTTAAGTTGGAGCACCTAGCATCCTCTGTTAGACATTAGGCCTTAGCTACTTCTTCATGAATTTCTGGATGTCAGGACAAATGGCACACAAAGTAAATAGCCAAAGATTCCCAGGAGAAGGGCTTGGATTTTGTCTGAAGTTAGGAGATGGGGAGAGGGTTGGTGGTTTGAAATTTTTATTGTGGTTAAGGGGTGGAGCCTGGATGGGGTGCCTCTTTTTTGCCACCCAGGATGGGTAGTTTGAAATTTCCATGAGTGCCAAGGGACAGATGGTATACATGGGCTTTCTTATCAGGTTGCCCAGATGTGGGGTAAAGAGGAAAGGGGAGGGTGGTGGCCTTGAAAGCTGTCAGAGGTCAACATCAAAAACAGTCTTTATTTATTTATTTATGTTTACAAAATCGCCTGAGAATACACTTCTCAGAAATATCCAGTCATTATGGGATGTATTACTGTACTTCTAGTCCATTTCATTGTTCATTTACCTTTGTTCCCCACACATCTTGACTCCTTAAAAGCAACGCATGTCATATGATTTTGCAAATCCAATGTTTACTACAATAAGAGCCTAATAAATGTCCATTGAATTAATCCACAAGGCTTATACTAAAAATTGAGTCTTTTTATTATACTATTGACATTGAGCATATTCTCATGTGCTTATTTGCCATCTATGTATCTTCGATGAAGTGTCCAGATTATTTGTTTGCCCATCTTTTAAATTGGATTGCTTGAGAGTTCTATTTTCTAGATACAAGTCTTTTATCAGATATGTTTTGCAAACATTTACTTCCAGTGGTTTGACTTTTTTTTTCTTTTTTTTTTTTTTGAGATGGAGTTCTGCTCTGTTGCCCAGGCTGGAGTGCAGTGGTGATTTCAGGTCATTGCAACCTCCACCTCCTGGGTTTAAGTGATTCTCCTGCCTCAGCCTCTTAACAGTGCCTTTCAAAGAGTAAAAGTTTTAATTTGGATGAAATCCAGTTCATCTCTTTTCCCCTTCTATTGATTGTGCTTGTGGTTCATATCTAAGACATTTTTGCCTAGCCAAATATCACAAATTTATTTCCAATATTATAAAACTTCTAAAAGTTTTATAGATTTGGATATTGCAATTAGGTCTAAGATACTTTTTGATTTATATTTGCATATGGTGGACAGTTTGAATTGAGGTTTACGTTGGTTTGCATATAGAAGTCCAGTTGTGTTCCAGCACCAATGATTATCATTCTTATTTAATACAGTCTCATCCTTATATTTTCCTTAGCAGATTTCTAGTCAGCTATGCCGTTGTTCTCCAGTACTTTTAAACCCAAGGGCAATATCTTAAGTATATACCTTGGCAATATGAAGTGTGAACCCAATAGTATCTGAGACAGGTCTCAATCAATTTAGGAAGTTTATTTTGCCAAGGTTAAGGACACAGCCTCAGGAGGTCCTGACATGTGCCCAAGGTGGTCAGGGTACAGCTTGCTTTTATATGTTTTAGGGAGATATACATCAATACATGTAAGATTTACATTGGTTCCATCTGGAAGTGTGACAACTCAGTGCAAGGGGGCTTCCAGCTTATAGGTTGATTAAAAATTTTTCTGATTGGCAATTTGTTGATAGAATTATTATCAATAAAAAGGAATGCCTGAATGATGATAAGGGATTGGGGAGACCAAGGTTTTATGCAGATGAAGCCTCCAGGTAGCAGGCTTCAGAGAGAATAAATTGTGAATATGTCTTATCAGAGTTAAGGTCTGGGTTGATGTTAATGTTGGTCAGCTTTTCCTGAATTCCAAAAGGGAGGGGGGACAGAATGAGGCATCTGACCCCCACCTCCACTTCCCATCTTATCCTGAACTCGTTTTTCAGGTTAACTTTGCAATGCCCTTGGCTGAGGGAAGGGGTCCATTTAGATGGTTGGGGGCGGCCTTAGAATTTTATTTTTGGTGTACAGAAGTACTGGAAAAGTGCTTTGTATCCCAACTTTGTCACCTTGAAATTTTTTTTCTTGAGATGCAGTTTCGCTCTTGTCTCCCAGGCTAGAGTGCAATGGTGCAATCTCTGCAATCTCTGCTCACTGCAACCTCCGCCTCCCAGGTTCAAGCGATTCCCTGCCTCAGCCTCCTGAGTAGCTGGGATTACAGGCATGTGCCACCATGTCTGGCTAATTTTGTATTTTTTTTCAGTAGAGACGCGGTTTCTCCACGTTGGTCAGGCTTGTCCTGAACTCCTGACCTCAGGTGATCCGCCCTCCTTGGCCTCCCAAAGTGCTGGGATTACAGGCGTGAGCCACTGCGCCCGGCCGGCTTTTTTTTTTTTTTTTTTTAAACAAGTTTTACCATGAAAGGCAGAAAGCCTTTGGGAAGGACATAGGAGTTGGCCAACCTTCTTAGGTAAATAGGGTTAAATAGAAGGAAAAATAGGGGGAGGCTTCGAAATCCTGTAACATAGCTAGAGAGTGGCAGGGCTGGAATTGAAACAGTTGTGTCTAACCCAAACCTTGTGCTTGTTGCTGTATACATATATACGTGTGTGTATATACGTATGTGTATATATGTGTGTGTGTGTATATGTATATACATATATACACACACGCACATACACACACACACAGTTTGCTCAGCCCTACCAATGTTACTTTGTCTCTTTAAGGCAAGAGCCCTAATTTTCTCACTTATAGTGATTTACACTTATGCCAGCTGTTAGATAATTGTAGCGGCCCCTTTAAGGTTTGATCTTCTATGGCATTGCGATTTGTTGGGTTAACTCTGGTGAATTCCGCCTATCTTTAGCTATTCAGTAAATTATTTTGTGAAAGCAGCAATACTGGAAACTGGAAATAATGTTTTCCATAACTTTCCAGTTGTTTATCATCTAGGTGATTTTCCCAGAATTTGTTAGATAACATGAAAAGATTTCACCTGAGTATCTTTCGGTTTAGATTTTCCATGGAATTTGCTTTGATTTCATTTTGCATAGCAGATACTCAGTAAACATCCTGTAAGACTCAGACATGGACTTGGAGTAAGCTGGGTTTGCAGTTTCTGTGAACTGTGCTGGCCTCTGGGAATGAGGCTGCTATGCCACATATTTGAGTGTTCTTTACCCCTTCTGGCTAGAGTTGACTCATGTTTGTGTGAAGTGGAAGGAAACTAAAGCCTCATCCCACGCTTTTGTCTTCCAAAAGAATGCCAAAGAGAGAGACCAATTAAAAGATGAAAGCCTGGCAATGCATTTTAATCTTCTCATCTGCCCATCCTAAGCAGCCTCCAGGCCTTGTCAACAGGGGGAAGCACTTGAGCCTGTGGAATATTTGCTTGGATTTGTCCTGTGGAACTAACTGGTTACTCAGCTGCTCATTGTTTATACCAAAATGGCTGCCAAAGAACGTGTTGAAATGAAACCAGAGTTTCAGGCTTACCTTTGAATGCATAGCTCTCTGAGGCCTGGAATGGTGGCTGATAGACAAAAAATTTGAAGAGTAAGAGAAGGTGGGAAAAGCCTGGACATATGAGATATATCCACGGGCCATAATTATGTACATGAAATGAGGGATGATAAATAGGGAGAAAATGGCTACTCTTACATCAATTCACTGGGAAATGAAGACCAATCAAACCAAGGGTTTTTCATCCTACCTTTTCTTTCTCTTTTTTTTTTTTTTTTTTTTTTTGAGACAGGGTCTCACTCTGTCACCCAGGCAGTGGCCCAATCATAGCCTACTGCAGCCTTGATCTCCAGGACTCAAGTGATCCTCCTGCATAGCTGGGACTACAGGTGTGCATGACCACTCCTGGCTAATTTTTTGAAAATTTTTCAGTAGAGACGTGGTCTCACCATGTTGTCCAGGGTGGTTTTGAACTCCTGGGCTCAAGCAGTCCTCCCACTTCAGCCTCCTAAAGTGCTGGGATTACAGGGGTGTATTAGTCCATTTTCACGCTACTGATAAGGACATACCCAAGACTTGGCAATTTCCAAAAGAAGATTATTGGACTCACAGTTCCACGTGGCTCACAATCATGGTGGAAGGTGAAAGGCATGTTTACCTGGTGGCAGACAAGAGAAGAGAGAGAACTCATGCAGGGGAACTCCTCTTTATAAAATGATCAGATCTCGTGAGACTTAATCATCATCACGAGAACAGCATGGGAAAGACTTCCCCACATGATTCAATTATCTCCCACCTGGTCCCTCCCACAACACATAGGGTTTCAAGATGGTATTTGGGTGGGGATACAGCCACACCATATCAAGGGGTAAGCTGCCATGCCTGGCCCTATCTTACCTTTTTTTTTTTTTTTTTTAAACTCTCTGTAAGGGATAAAATATATTGGAGTTGGCTTTATGGGAGAGGATTTTAGATTTGACAGACTAGTGGAATGTGTACAGAAGGGTCTAGGGAAAGTTTGTGGCAACAGTATCCAAAAGTGAATCCTTGCAGTAAGAAAGCTGGAGAAACATTGAGGAGAAGATGTGCAAATGTGTGGTTAGTCATTGTCAGTCAGGGCTGCTATAACAGAGTATATAGGGTGCATGGCTTCAGCAACAGACACTTATTTCTCATAGTTCTGGAAGCTGGGAAGCCCAAGATTAAGGCACCAGAAGATCTGGAAGTGAGGGACCACTTCCTGGTTCATAGCTGGCACTCTCCATGCGTCCTCACATAGCAGAAAAGGGCTAGAGAGCTGTCTAGGGTCTCTTCTAAGGGCACAAATTTCATAGATGAGGTCTCCATTCTCATGATCTAAATTACCTCCAAAGGCCCTACCTCCTAATACTGTCACATTGAGGGTTAGGATTTTGGCATATGAATGTTGGGGAGATACATTCAGTGCATTGCATCCATCCTGTCAGGAAGTGAGGGGATACACTATGGATTCTCCCTGCATGAAGGGTATTATCCCTGTCCTGGATTTATTTTTTGTGACTGTTTCCAGGATTTGTTTCTATAAAGTGACCACTGATTGTGTGAGGAGTCTAAAACTTGACTGTATTAGTGTCAGTTTTGTCAGAAATATTAGGCTGTCATGTCAGATCAGAGTCTTGGGTGACTGGAATACAGGATGGGTAAGTTTTGAAGGAAAAAACAGGACAGTTCTGGAGCACAAAGTACAATGTGGCCACCAGAGGGTAGTATTTATTCAACAAGGATTTCTTGAACTTCATACTTTACCACTGAGATTCTTGGGGAAAAAGGACAGACTGAAGGGAGCTTTGTACTGACTTTATACTTGTCTTCCTCTCCATTTTTCTCTACTTGGTTAACTCCAATAAAATACATTTTTTTTCACTCAAACTTTTTTTTTCCAAGCAGAGTTACTCTATAGCATTGAATGTGTACCTGTATATAGCACTTGTTATGTATTTTATTTGCTTTTTTATTGAAATATTTTATTCAAAGGAACAGAAAATTAATGGCTTTTACAATGTGACTGAAATATTAATTCTACTGTCTCCCACTAAAGATTTAAGAATTACTTTTATAACAAAGTAATTAAAGTGTTTGTAAAGACACCATCAGCTGAGATAGACTCTCTTGGTACTTATGATTAATCCATTATGAACAGCAATCTTAAAAATAAAATGCAAGAATAAGTACCTGATATTGTTTTGCTGTGTCCCTACCCAAATCTCATCTTGAATTGTAGCTCCCATAATCCCCACGTGTTGTAGGAGGGACCTGGTGGGAGGTAATTGAATCATGGGGGTGGTTCTTTCCCATGCCATTCTTGTGATAGTGAATAAGTCTCACGAGATCTGATGGTTTTATAAAGGGGAGTTCCCCTGCATATGTTCTCTTGCCTGCCGCCACGTAAGATGTGCCCTTCTCCTCCTTTGCCTTCCACCATGATTGTGAGGCCTCCGCAGCCATGTGGAACTGTGAGTCCATTAAGCCTGTTTTTCTTTATACATTACCCAGTCTTGGGTATGTTTTTATTAGCAGCATGAGAGCAGAGTAACACAGTACCTTTAAACCAAGTCAAGGTGTAAGAAGCTCAATGGCTATGCTGAACCCACATGATAAAAATGAAAATGGATTTCATACTGTAGGTCTATATAATTGTTAAAAATCCTGCCATTTCCCCCATATGTATGCTTAGAATTCTTGTGCGAATAACAGAAAGCTCCATTTCATTCACTTCACTGGGATAAACTCCTTAGAAAAAGGTTGAAAAGATTTGATAATTAGCTCCCGTATCTATGCTTATTCTTTCAACTTCTGTCGGTTTTCTGACACATTTAACACAAGCAGGAACATCTTTTCCTAAGCCCTTGGAGCCTATCAATGTATTGAAGAAGGCTGGCCAAGATATATATATCCCATGTTGTTTTTGGTTTCCCATCTATTCTTTGCATTAACCCCCCATGGAAGTTTCTTCTTTTTCTGAGTAACTCATGAATTTGCAGCCTCCTTTTTGGCTTTCGCAAAGTTGTAGCAGGCAGCAGCTTTGACATTTTTGACACCAAGCTACTTGCTAAAGTCTTCAATATTCTTCATATTCCGTCTCTCCACACACTGTTCTGTGCTTTTCTCTCAAAGGCCTGACTTACTCATTTTTTTTTCTTTTTTCTATTTCTTCAAACCCATCACTGATGCCAAAATTGAATAAGCTCCTTCCATTGGGCTTTATTTAATGATCATTCCCTATGAGCTGCCTCTTTATTCTTTAATTTATCTTTTTGAGTATTTTCTTCTCCCCGCTCAGTCTTGAGGTTTTATGTTTGGAATGTTTTTAATGCAATTCTTGAAATTTATTCTACATATTTAAGGAAATTTCAGAAGTGTACTCTGTATATGCATTGACATTTACCTCTCTTTCATTTTTCTGGCCCATTTGGAAAGAAACCTGAGGTTTGTTTTTCTAATTATCTGATCTTTATCTTCCTCTAAGAGTTCATCTTCAGAATTCATTACATCACTTCATTTAGGTCAGGAATAAGCAGCTCACTCCACATCATTTATTTAATTTCACGTCTCTAAGAGGATGGCTTTAGAAAAGTGCTCTTCTGCCTGGCCACACAACCAGAAGTCAGTAGGCTCTGGGACTGAGTTTTAACTCCAATCCCATTGTGGGTTGAATTCCCCACTGGACATAGGATTAAATGCTCATGTCCTGGGTAGGATTTCCAGGAACTATAGCTATTTTCCAAGATACAGCATTTCATGAACATACTCAATTTTTCCAGTGTAGAGCATACTGTGATGGTTAATATTGAGTGTCAACTTGATGGATTGAAGGATGCAAAGTATTGTGTTGGGCGTGTCTGTGAGGGTGGTGCCAAAGGAGATTAACATTTGAGTCAGTGGGCTGGGAGAGACAGACCCACCCTCAATCTGGGTGGGCACCATCTAATAAGCTGCTGGCACAGCTAGAATAAAGCAGGCAAAAGACGGTGGAAAGAGCAGACTTGCTAAGCCTTCTGGCCTTCATCTTTCTCCTGTGCCAGATGCTTCCTGCCCTCAAACATCACACTCCAGGTTCTTCAGGTTTTGGACTCTTGGACCTACACCAGCGGTTTGCCATGGCTCTCGGGCCTTCAGCCACAGACTGGAGATTGCACTGTCAGCTTCTCTAACTTTTGAGGTTTTGGGACACGGACTGGCTTCCTTGCTTCTCAGCTTTTAGAGGGCTTATTGTGGGACTTGACCTTGTGATCCTGTGAGTCAATACTCCTTATTAAACCATATATACATGTCTCCTGTGAGTTCTGTTCCTCTAGAGAACCCTGACTAATACACTTATTCCTCTCACTTTGGCTGTGGAAAGAGAACCGAAGAGAACCCTTTCCGACTAAAGAGCCAGGAAGGTGCTGAGCCCTCCTTTTTTTTTTTTTCTTAAACAGTTCTACTTATTTTTATTTTTATTTTACTTTTAGAGATGGGGGTCTTACTATGTTGTCCAGACCAGTCTCCACCTCCTGGCCTCAAGCGATCTTTTCATCTTAGCCTCCTTAGTAGCTGGGATTACAGGCTGTGGCCTCCACATAGCCTGAGCCACCTTCTCCTCAGAAAAGACCAAACCAGAGTGATCTCTGGATGATCACAGTGATCTTTTTCCTCAAAGGTGGTCCAGGCTGGGGGGTCTTCTCTGCTTTGATCTGCCTACACTAGGCTTTCCGGGAGGCCTGCCCAAAATGTCACCAGGACCCCACGCTCTTATTTGGTGTTTTGTCCTATATTTGAGAGCTCCTCCAGGGCATGCTGTGATAAATATATATATTTGTATCTGTCTGAGTACTAGGTTTGGCACCAATGTATTTGAATAAATAAAGTACTTGATTGACAAATGTTAATTACAGCATTTGGCAAATTTTTCCTGCAAGGGACAAGATAGTATATCTGTTAGGCATTATGGCCAATGGGTCTCTGGTAAGACTACTCAACTCTCTCTCTCTACTGTAGTAAGAACTCCCCTTGTAAGTGATTGAAAGCTTATATTCCAGTAAAACTTTACTTATAAAAACAAGTGATAGGCCAAGTTTGGCCCACAGGCTCTAGTTTGGTCACCCTTAGTTTAAGGTGTGGTTTTCAATAAAATTGGAAATGGGTTTGTCAGTTCGTTTGTCTTCCACATTACTTTTAGCATAGTACTGAGGAAATGTGCACAGATACTTGCTGAAAGGATGAACAATAGTTTCCACTGCCTGAATAATAATTGCCACTACTTTTTCTGATAATGTTGCAAGGAAATTTTCAGAGAATGTGTAAGGGATTACCTATAAATTGTCTTTACACATAAAATTTTTATACATATTTATAATATATATGTAGATATGTATATGTATTCATACATATTTTATTCATACATATTTTACATGCAGTTAAAACTGGAGATTTAATTTTAGTAAATGAGAAGTTTTGTTAAGTCCAATTGGAGTGTACTCTTTAAACAAAACTAGAAGATTTCTGTAAGCCAAACTGACTGAGAAAAGTGTTTTTCACAAAGCTTTAAAAAAATTAGTTTTGCTTCAGGTAAGGTGAATATAATGAAACCATCTCACTGTTTATAGACCAATGACCTAATATTTGCAGTATTATTCATGCCATCAATCTTTTGGGTGTGTTGAGTAGAGGATGTTTGTTCAGTTTAGTTTAAAAAATGCAGACTGCTTTATCATAAGAAAAGATGCAGGATTTGTATGGTCTTGGCCTGACTTAACAGTAAACAACCTGGTGTCACAGTAAACAACTTGGCCAACTCACGTCAGCCTCAGTCATTGCCTGGGATGGGGGAGTTTTCATCATCAGCCTGAACACTCAGGCTCCCTGTCCAGTTCCCATGCTTCCTCCTGGGCCTTTTCACTCTGGCCTCTGGAGCAGTTGTTCTATGATGAACACTCCAGTGTTGATCTCTTTCTTCGGGCTTTGAAACCCAGTCCTCTCTTTCTCCTATAGCCTTCCCCAGTGGAGTCTGATGTTTCCTCTGTACCCTACATACTACAGGGCTGAGAAAAGGGGCTACTTCCAGACAATTAGCCTGAAGTGTTCACATGGAAATATCTATGCTTAATCTCCTTTGGTTAAACTATCCAACATCCCTCCTCCTCATTAGGATACTGACCCCCCATTCACCCCTCTTTACTCAGTGAAGACTGCGCCCAGCTGCCTCCTCCCCACCCTAACCCTGCCATCCTGCTGGGTGAACACAGTGCAGACCTGGAGGGCCTGCTGAGTTCTCTAACTTCCCAATTCCATGACCTCCATTTCTACTCCAACCACTTTCTTTGATGTCTTAGTACTGGATTTAGTAATTTCCTGGGGAGGCTTCACCTTTGCATTATTAAATCCCAATATCTTACCTTGCAGCTTCAACTATACCTGTTTTATCAAAACCTCTTGACTTTCTGCCTCCTCCTGCATTATGTAGTCTGCACAAGCTGATACTAAGCCACTTTTGTGACAGTATTTTCAAACTTGCTCTATTGTCCTCTTATTACATCTACCCAGGAAAACCTAACTGTTACCATTTTGCTCAAGTATTCTTGATCTGTACTAGCTCCAGACTACCCAGGCCCTAGTTCTGCAGATTGGGTCACAAGCCAACAGACACCAGCTAGTTTCAGGGTCGTTAGTTCATTCAGTGTCTATTATTTAAGAGATTTTTACACATAACCCATAGGAGTGCTACGATTCCTTAAATATGTTTCTTTTCCTTTTTTTTTTTTTCTTTCCAGAGACAGAGTCTTGCTCTGGAGTGCAGTGGCATGATCATAACTTACTGCAGCCTTGAACTTCTGGACTCAAGGGATCCTCCCATCTCAGCCTCCCGAGTATCTGGCACCACAGGCGCACACCACCATGCCTGGCTCATCTTTTTAATTTTTTTGTACGTAGGGTCTTTCTGTGTTGCCCAGCCTGGACTTACAAGTATGAGCCACTGCACTCGGCCATTTTTTTCCTAATTACTTTAGGATCCTGCATGCATGCTTGCTACTACTCATATTCCTTTGGGATTGTCTAGTCAAGTTTTAGCTCTTTTAGTTTGGAGCTTCACTTCATACCAGTTATCGAATGGCTGTGCCTTCTCAGTCAATGTCTTCCTGAAGTGTAACCTTTCTCTAGGAGATTTAACTTATTTCCTCAAGGCTTTTTATAGAAGGAGATAATACTGGTGCCCTTCAGTCTTCTTCTTTTGACTTTGGAGGGTAAAAGAAGGCTTTTAGGCAAATGTGAAGCAGTGCGGAAGCATCCTGTTTGGCTTAGACAAGCTAGAGTTTACAGGGCACTCTGCATACTCCTGTGAAAAGGAGTCTGCTATTTTGAGATTAAGACTATATTACAGAAGCTGTAACTTTGCTCAGTTCCTCAGTGTCAGGAAGTGGCATATACAGATCTCACTTAATCACTGAAGCTATAATTTTGGGTCAAGTGTATGGGTAGCTGTATTATCTGGCCTTTTTTTGGTAATACAGTTAATACAATGGCCTGGAATATCAGCTTAGAGTTCAAAGAAGCAAGACTAGTATGCATGATATAATCCATCATCCTTCTTATTCATGAAAGTGCTTATTAAACAACCACATTTTGATAAATGTATAAATACAGATGAGTAAATAACAAAGGCAATTTTAAGTCTTTTTGTGTAGCACTGACATTTGTTCTATTATTAGCCTGTTTCTGGAATATGGGCTTCATTGTGCAGCCATTAAGGAATTCATCAAAATTTCATATCAGCTGTGTGGATCTCCCCTGTCTGTGGCTGCCACCTGGCTCTGCTTCAGGCTGGGGTGATAATTATTTCATGTGGCACTGGGAGCCCTCCTCCCTACCGTCACTGAATCTGTTCTCCTTTTCCTCCGGCTTTTCTGTCTTCTGACTCCATGCTCTGTTCCAGGACATAGGGTAATTATCATTATTCTCTGTTGTGGAGGAAAATATTAGTTAATGCTGGGTTTCAGACTTCTCCTCTCCTGTCAAGGCATTTGTTAGGTCTTTCCTTTCCTGCCAAAGGCTCAGAGTGTTTTCCCCCAGCGTAGGTGCCATCTGTCTGCTCAGGGACTCTTGTTTCTGCATGTGGCCGAGGAGCATGGGTGGCCTGGCTGAGAGGCAGTGAGGCTGGTTTTCTTTCTCACCCTCTCCTCCTCTTTGTGACTGCCTTCTGTGGTTGTTGGGCAGCTCCCCCATCTTGCTGTCTCTCATTGTACCTAAAGTCAACATCTTTTTCCTGATTTGTGCTCTTTAGTCTCTGAACCTTAGTTAAAACTTCTCTGTATGCCTTGAGCAGTAGTCTGTCTTTTCTTTTAATCATTTTGCTTTTAGGGGACCTTAAAATAAAAAAAAAAACTATTTACGAATACTTACTGTCATGCATGTCATACAGTGGGAGAATACAGAAAAAGATGTGTAAAATCTTTATGGAGTTTCCTGACCTCAATAAAGTTTCAATCTAGGACGGAAGAGAAGATGAGCAGATGATGATGCCATAAGGCAGAATGGTGTAACTACTGACTTAGTCTTAGAAAATCCGTGTCACAGAAGTTATGGGGGAGAAAGACTCCCTTTGGGACAGTCATGTTTGGGGCTGACAGGGGAAAGACGTAATTGGAATTGTTAAGATGGAGAAATGAAGGCTCTGGGTTCTTTTGTCTAGGTAAAACCAAGGATTCAGGTGTGAGAATGAAGGGGCGAAGGGGCTCGAAGGTAGGTAGGAAGGCCTCACTCTGCAGGCAGAATGGATCTCTGGAAGGTTTTGAGCAGTGTTTGTTTTTGTGAGGAAGACTGTTTTGATTTTTAAGGAAGAATACAGGCAGGCATTGAAGTGTTAGGGTAGTAGAGGAGATTAAGGCAGAACAATCCATAGGAGAATGTTGAGTGTCACATCTGCCAGAGAAGCCTAGAACCAGAGTGGAGAGAATTACATGGATTTGGAGGGACAGAGAAGGTTCATTCTGATGTTGAGTCTGGGACGTTGGGAGAATGTCGGTATCATGGTTTCAACAGAGAAGTGAGATGTGGTAGCTGAGTCTTGGGTGAGAGGGGAGGTCTGTTTACATGCTGGGAATGAGTTAAGATAAGGGCACTCCAGGGCAAATGCTCACCTGGGAGCAGGAAATGTGAGGAGTGGAGAACCAGAGGACTAACTTGAGGACTAGGGCTTGGAGTTTGTCCTTGAACGAACAAAGTTTGAAACGTTAGAGGAAGAGCACCTAGCCGGTGAGCTCAGGGAGAATCGAAGGAGGGAGTGGCTGGCAAGTCAACCTTCACAGTTTCGAGGGTGAAGCAATCATCCTTGAGGAGCCTCCGGATTAACCCGGGCCCTCCTGCCTCCCACACACTCCGACACACCCCATGGCTCCTGTGTGAATCTTTCTCAGTTTTGCCTCAACATTCAGGCAAGGATCTTCAATTTGTTATGTTCATTTGTCCACCCATATTAACTCCCTTCTGAGCTGTACTTGTAGGCTAGAAGGCAGAATCCATGTATAACCTATACTCATAAGCCTCAGAGAACCCAGCTTCATGAGCTTCTTGGTTGTACCTTCTTGGAGAAGAGAAAGACTTGAGGGTGTTGAGAGGAATCTTAGATGTCTCACTGAATCAAGGTGATTTATATATGTTTGGCTTCTGAACATTTTCTGTGTCAGGATTTTTTCTCCCAAAATGCACACCATTCCATTTTGGAATTTATTTTTATTTTGAGACGGAGTCTCGCTCTGTCGCCCAGGCTGGAGTGCACTCACTGCAACCTCCGCCTCCCGGGTTCAAGCGATTCTCCTGTCTCAGCCTCCTGAGTAGCTGGGACTACTGGCACATGCCACCACACCCAGCTAATTTTTGTATTTTTAATAGAGACGGGGTTTCACCGTGTTGGCTCAGATGGTCTTGATTTCTTGACCTCGTGATCTGCCCGCCTTGGCCTCTCAAAGTGTTGGGATTACAGGCGTGAGCTACCACGCCTGGCCTGGAATGTTTTTAACCCTAGAAAGTTGTTTCATGTTGTGGGCCCCAAAGCTACAACTAACCAGATTGTGTACTTTAATGTGCAAATTTTGCCATGAAAAGTCTCAATCTATTTTAATGCTTCAAAACCAGTTTTGTAGAAACACATCAGAAGCTCTCGTGTATTTAATAAAGCTGACAGACTAGTGGTGTTATATAAAAATCTTCTTCATTTTCACCAACTATTACTTGATGATGTGTTTTAAACTTTGAAATGAGCTGTTTTTGTTGTATGTTTTATGTACCTAGATCTAGCCATTAAAAATAGGGGAAAACTGGTCCCAAGGCTGTTTAGACTGCTGCAGTACTCAGAATGTGCCAGCAGGTGGCAGCAGAGAACAGAAACTGATTTCATGCCTGATTTCCTTACATTTCCAGTAAAGAACCGAAGCTGGCCGGGCGCTGTGGCTCATGCCTGTAATCCCAGCACTTTGGGAGGTCAAGGCGGGTGGATCACGAGGTCAGGAGATTGAGACCAGCCTGGCCAATGTGGTGAAACCCTGTCTCTACTAAAAATACAAAAATGAGCCGGGCATGGTGGTGTGTGGCTGTAGTTCCAGCTACTTGGGAAGCTGAGGCAGGAGAATGGCTTGAACCTGGGAGGCGCAGGTTGCAGTGATCCGAGATTGTGCCATTGCACTCCAGCCTGGGCGACAGAGTGAGACTCCATCTCAAAAAAACAAACAAACAAACAAACAAACAAAAACCCGAAGCATTTAAAGCTGTGAGATGAGATGATGATTTAGTACAAATTGTTTCATATAAGGAAATCAAGTCTCATAAGAACCTTAGATACCCATTCAAAAATCAAGCACCTGTTTATAGAATTGGGACTTAGTAGTAGGTCTCTCAGGTTCTTTCCACTCAAAGTTTTTCAGAGACCATTCTTAGTAAAACCCAGTTAAGGGCCTTCTGGGAGAGGCAGACTTCCAGGTGTCAATCCAGGCCATTTGAATCAGGATTCCTTAGAGGAAGGCTTGGGACCATTATTTGCCCCAAGCTTCCCAAGTGGTTCTTCTACACACTGAACCCTGAGTTAACAGGTGAGTCCTGTCCACAGGGCAGGCGTTATGCTGGGTCTTGAGGATACAAACAAAAAAGCCCATGTATTCCCAAGCTCCCATGCCTGCAGGGGCCAGACAGGTAGACTTGGGGTGGACTGAGCCGAGGGGAGGTGTGGGGACTGCCACTCTCCTGAGAGTGGGTTTTCTCCAGAGCAGCCAGTTGTGGCTATGAGGTAACGCACGTCGAACGTTGCCAGACTGTTTCTTTTTTAAAGGAAGCTGGTGATCCACATTTTTGATCTTTCCCAACGTCGACATACCTTATGGGCCAAACAACACATGTGCACGGGTTGGAACTAGCCTGTGGGCTGTGATATCTTCTTTAGGAGCTTAGATCAGTAAGGGAGCCATGAATGCCAATACACATTCAGATTGGCATGAGGAGAAGGTGGAAGCAGAGAGAGCTAGCCACACTCTGGAAGGAGGTCGGGTGACTTCCTGAAGGCACGTTCTCAAGGCCAAGAAAATTTTTTTTGAAAAACAAACTCATGTATTTGTACGGGTGGTGTATTAGTCCATTCTCATGCTGCTAATAAACACACATCTGAGACTGGGTAATTTATAAAGGAAAGAGGTTTAATGGACTCAGTTCTACATGGCTGGGGAGGCCTCACAATCATGGTGGAAGATGAAGGATGAGCAAAGGGATGTCTTACATGATGGCAGGCAAGAGAGAATGAGAGCCAAACAAAAGAGGAAACCCCTTATAAAACCATCAGATCTCATGAGACTTATTCACTATCACAAGAACAGTATAGGGGAAACTGCCCCCATGATTCAATTATCTCCCACTGGGTCCCTCCCACAACAAGTGGGAATTATGGGAGCTACAATTCACAATGAGATTTGGGTGGGGACACAGCCAAACCATATCAGGCAGTGTCTTCCTTTTCTTTGTTATCTTGAAAGGGAACATGTGTATTGATCTTTTATATTTCTCAATATACCAGAAAGTATTTTAAGATACTATTCTTCATGCTTCAACTTTTATAACCTTTAATCAAATGATTCCAATAAGTGGAAATAAAATTACTACTTGATCAACGGGAAACTAATAATTAGATGCATTGTAGAGCTGTCAGTGTATCTACTTTTGAGATAAATAAGCTGGAAACTTTGTTGAGATCGCTTAAGGCCCTAGAAAGAATCTAGGAAAAACTGTTTCTGCAAGTTGTTTGAGGAAAGCTGATTTCTCCACAATTCTGCCATTGGGAATGTAATTAACTCTCAACAGGGAGTTGGAGAATTCTACAAACCCATTTAATGTGGCCCTCTTTGTGATATCTTTCGTGTGTTTTCAGCTTTGAGACCATACAATTAAAGTGAATTATGGAAAAAGACAATAAATGTACCTGAGAAAACCTTGTCCTGTGGAATTATTTATATATAATGCAAAGATGAAACACTTAAGATAGATGCAAATATATGAAAGGAGGAAATATCAGAATTTCATATTAAAATATTTCTGGATATAAAGTAGCTGGGGTAGAAATTCCACTTTGCAAATTAAGACCTATTCTTGTGAAAAAAATATAAATACATATATGTAATATAATATACTTATATATTTTTAAGAGATAGGGTCTAGCTGTGTTGCTCAGGCTAGAGTGCAGTGGCAGGATCATAGCTTACTGCAGTCTTGAACCTCCTGGATTCAAGGAATCCTCCTGAGTAGTTGGGACTACAGACATGTGCCCCCTCACCTGGTTAATTTTTTAATTTTTTGTAGAGATGGCTTCTCACTATGTTGCTCAGGCTGATCTGGAACTCCTGGCTTCAAGTGATCCTTCTACTTGGCCTCCCAAAGTGCTGGAATTACAGATGTGAGACATTTCATCTGGCCAAAATATATTTAAGTTTTTTTTTTTTTTTTCGGGGAGGGGTAGGCATTTAGAGTACAGGAATCATTTAAATAGCTTAACTTCTGTTGAACTTCTTTTGTATATGGGGCATGAGATGGTGCGAAAGGTCTTTGTAACTATCTTTTAAAAAGTTACCTTTATTGAGTTTGAACAAAATGCACAAATGTCTCAGTGTACAGTTCAAATAAATTTTTTAAAAAAACATTTATTGAGATATAATTCACATACTATACAATTCACTCTTTTAAAGTATATAATTCAGTGGCTTTTAATATATTCACAGAATTGCCGAGCCATCACCACATCTAATTTCAAAACATTTTCACCAAAGAAAACATGTATTCATTAGCAGTCACTCTCCATTCTCTCTCTCCCCTAGCCCCTGACAACCATTAATCTGCTTTTTGTTCCTAGGATTACCTTATTCTGGACATTTCACGTAAATAGAATAATACCATATTTGGTCTTTTTTTACCTTAACCCTAATGTTTTCAAGATTTATTTATGTGATGGCATGTATTAGTACAGTAGTGTTCCCTTATCAGGAAGTACGTTTCCTGATACAAGGAATGTGTTCTAAGACTCCCCCAGTAGGTGCCTGAAACTGAGGAAAGTACCAAACTTGACTGCTGTCAATCAGAACATATTTCTGTTCCTGTCTTCCACTCACAGATTTAATGTCTTTTCCATCTTAGCACCTGTCATGCACTGTGGTCATAAGTTTTGCAGTTTGAGGTGTGACAACCAAAACTAGCATGAATTTCTTTCTCTTTCTTTACAATTTCCAAGATAGAAGATTTTTTTTTTTTTTTTTTACTGTAGTATCAAGGGAACCAGCCCCCAATATTTCAATGTAGGTTATTTTCTATTTTCCCTAAGTGTCGGCCGGTCTGAGAAATAAATAAGAAATTTTACAGCTGGGTCTCCGGGGGTGACATCACATGTTGACAGGTTCTGTGATGCCCCCAAGCTGCAAAACCAACACGTCTTTATTAGGGGTTTCAAAAGGGGAGGGAGTGTACGAATAGGGCGTGGGTCACAGAGATCGCATGCTTCAGAAGGCAATAAAATATCACAAGGCAAATGGGGGCAGAGCAAGATCACAAGGCCAGGGTGAAATTAGAATTGCTGATGAGGTTTCATGTCCCACTGTGCACCCATTGTCATTGATAAACATCTTAACAGGAAACAGGGTTCAAGAGCAGAGAACTGGTCTGACTAGAATTCGCCAGGCTGGAATTTCTTAATCCTAGCAAGCCTGGGGGCGCTGCAGGAGACCAGGGCGTATTTTATCCCTTATCTTCAACTGCATAAGACAGACACTCCCAGAGCGGCCATTTTAGCGGCTTCCCCCAGGAATGCATTCTTTTCCCAGGGCTGTTCCTTGCTGAGAAAAAGAATTCAGTGATATTTCTCCTATTCGCTTTTACAAGAAGAGAAATATGACTCTGTTCTGCCCGGCCCTGCAGGCAGTCAGGCCTTATGGTTATCTCCCTTGTTTCCTGAACATCGCTGTTATCCTGTTCTTTTAGGATGCCCAGATTTCATATTGTTCAAACACACATGTTTTACAAACAATTTGTACAGATAACACAATCATCACAGGGTCCTGAGGCGACATACATCCTCAGCTTATGAAGATGATGGGATTAAGAGATTAAAGTAAAGACAGGCATAGGAAATTATAAGAGTATTGACTGGGGAAGTGATAAATGTCCATGAAATCTTCACAATTTATGTTCAGAGATTGCAGTAAAGACAGGCCTAAGAAATTATAAAAGTATTCATTTGGAGAACTAATAAATGTACATGAAATCTTCACAATTTATGTTCTTCTGCCGTGGCTTCAGCTGGTCCCTCTGTTCAGGTTCCCTGACTTCCTGCAATACTGTAGATCTTAGCAACCTCAGCATATGATTGTTTTCCTTATTAAGTCAAGAACTTTCACCTTTTCACTTAAAGGGAGTACTTGATAGCTTCTCTTTGGCATTTTGGAATTGCCAGCATCACTACTCTTTGTGCTTTGGCACCATTATTAGGTCAACCATGGGTGACTTGAACACAAACACTGTGGTCAACAGCCGATCTGCAAACCAAGAAGACTGCTAAGAGACTCATGGGCAGGGAGCACATGCAGTGTGAATATGCTGGACAAAGGGACAGTTCACAGAGGGGGACACAGCAGAATGGCTTGAGATTTCATCACACTATGCAAAACAATGCGCAATTTAAAACTTAAGAATTGTTTATTTCTGAAATCTTCCTTTTAATATTTCTGGACTGTGGTTGACTGTGGGTAACTGCAACTACAGAAAGTGGAACCATGGAAGCAGACCACTGTACTTCATTCCAGTGATTGCTGAATCATATTCCATTGTGTATTTACACCATGTTCTATTTGTTCATTCATCAGTTCATGGACATTTGGGTAGTTTCCACTTTTTGGCTGTTATGAACATTCATATACAAGTTTTTGTGTGGAGGTATGCTTTCATCTCATTTGGGTATGCACTAGGAATAGATTGTAGTGACCTTTTTGCTTCTGGAAGGTTGACATGTAGTGACCTTTTTGCTTCTGGAAGGTTGACAGATGGACTTCGTTGTTGTTGGCTTGCAGTGGGAATCCATCAAGAATTATTGCAGGAATTCTTGTGTAACTGGGCGTCTCAGCCGCATTACTTAATAATACCAAACTTAAACTGGATAGTAAAGTATATCATAGGTAGCAAGGGCGTAACTGTCAGTTTGAAGTTTATGTGAAATAAGCAGTGACTCTTACATGTGATAGAGATGTACCATTTCCCAAAATGAATGTGATCCCACAGCGATGCCTTTCCTAGTAATTCACAGGGAGGTAAGTAGGTAATTGTTGAGACTTGCTAATGTGTGTGTGAAACATTTCTGCAAAAAATGACGCCATCTTTTTGCTGTTGAGAACCCATGATTATATTAAGCATTTGAACTATACTTAAAATATCCTGATAATGATTGTTCACATCTACTTGTGCCTTGTGTGGTAGTTATTTAAAAACTCCTTAATCTAGAAAAAAATAATTTAAGGCTAGACTTTTTTCCCTTAGGATATTTTCCTTATTGTCTGCAACAATATAATTTGGAGTATAAACCTGTGTTTATAGACAAAATGCAATGTCCTCATTAGAAGTGATTTTTGTGATTGTTAACATAATGAAGCATAGGCTGTAAAACTAGCACATTTTGTATGTGTTTTCGGTGAACTTACCTGGCCCCTAATAGGACTCAGGTTGTCTTGGATTTTGATGGATTGATGAAACCTTGTACATAAATTGCCAGTCCTGGAACCAATCTTCCTTCATTTCTTCCCTGTTTTATTTAGTTTTTCTTCCAGTTGTATTTCATTTTTGGCTTGTTAATAATTGTGGTTTAGTAAAAATAACTTGAGACTGTAAGCTAAAAGTTGGCTATGGTCTAGGGAAGTGGGCTTCTTCTCGTGGACTAGAAATGTTTAAACTTATTCTTTTTTTTTTCCCTCAAAATATGAGTGCAACTGACATCTGGTTTAACGATGATTGAGTGAGAATTTTGAGTGTTTATAAAGACAGTTAGCTTTTAATTATCTGGGCACACAACCCGGAGCATTGCATTTTGCTGGCTGTTTCCCTGCTCCTTCCTTCTGGCTCTGTGAAGACTTGTTGGCCTTCCCCAAGAGAAGGTGAAGTTGGAAGTGTAACTGACCCCAGCCACTCTGAGATGAAAGTTGGGGTAGCAGGCAGAAGGGTAGGAGAAATGTTTAGACTTTTGACCACTGTGAGACTTTTGGGTTCCATCTAGAATTCAGGGATCTGTGCAGTTCTGATTACCACTATCTTGGAAGACTGCGAGTTGGCTTTGGTTTTGCTATCAAATGATATTAGTATTGGCAAAAATAGTCCTAGTATACTCCCCAATATTATGTAGTACAATGCCAAATCTTAATAGAAATGAGTGACTTGAGAATTACCCCTTAAAGGAATGTTATTTGCTGAATATACAATATAAGTTTACCAAGAACATGGTGTAATTCAGTGGGTTAACCACATATGCCATTTTGACTACAATTTCAAAACAGGGTTAGAATTTTAAAGAGGAAGTTCCAAGAATTGCTTCATTTTACTTTTTATATTCCTAGTGCTGTGCACCATGTCAGGTATGTATATAGCAGGTTGTCATTAAATAATTTTTGAATGAATGAATAAATGAATGCTTTCTTTGTATCTTAGTTAAAATTAAGACAGATTATTTAAATGAAAAGTTAAACTCTAACATATTCTTTAACCTGGAAAGATTTTCATGTAGCAAATTAATAGTGGTGACAAGCTTTCAACTTTGAAGGTTTCATCCAACCATATAGTCTTTCAAAAAGTATCACTAGAGTGATATACTTTCATGTACTCTTGTATGTTTTTATTCTTGAGCTACTGACAAAACTAGGATGGGTTTTCTCCTGTGCAGTAGAAGGCTACTTTAATAAAGTGATGTCAAGAACTGAGGAAGGCTCTTCCTCCAAAACACAACCAACTCCCTCATCCCCCCCAACACACACCTGAAATTTAATCATCTGTTTGGTCTTTTTGTTTGTTTGTTTTTTATTCCTATAAATTAGTAAATAGCAACTATTTATAGGAAGAATAATTTGATTTAAAAGTGATGAGGGTGTGTAAGCTGTATTTCAGCCAGTGAGAAGTTGGGTAAGAGCCTCCTGCTCTTGGGAGTATGCAGTGTAGACTGGAATGACTGGGGGAATAGGAGGTAAGTCACTAATTACAGTTTAGAGTTCCCTGAGTGCTTTCACAGACACTCTCATTTGATGCTCAATGCGCTGATATATAGAGAACTACCTACTGGTCTAGGTCTCAAGTCCAGTAACCTTGTTGTAGCTCAATTTCCTCATGTGTAAACCAGGGGTAAGAGATGCTACCACATAGGGTTGCTACAAAGATTCAGGCCCAAAGCAGACAGTGTAAGTGAGTGTTGGCTGACATAACTCGGGTTCCTGTTTTATAGCTGAGGCCTTGAGAAGTTAGGAGACAGTCTTCATTATCCAAGGAGTCTGGTACTTCCATCTCAGCTTCTCTGACTTCAGGTTCTTTGTGTGTGTGTGTGTGTGTGTGTGTGCACTGTGAGGACAGTTTAAAAAGTGCAAAACCCATCCTTTTGTGAAGAACTGGCTTCTCTGACATCATGAATGACTTTTTCAATCATTCTATTCAGGGACAGGAAAGAGGTAGGAGATATTTATTCCATTTAAATTATGTTCTGTTTTTACCTAATGTGTTTATGGTAAGCCATAATCCTTGCATTTGTAAGTTTTTGGTATTTGTAACCAATGAGATCTGTCAAAGATGTTGCATCATAAATAATGATGTGGACATCTTATGGAATTTATTATAAAAATTTGATGTGTTTTGTGGAGTCATGGAGATCATATAATGGTTGTTTCGACAATGAAGTTTAATGAACGGAGTAAAGAAGGGTGTTTTTAATTGATTGACAGCTTTAGAGAAGGCATCCAGCTCCTCCTGTATACCAGCCTGGGGCTTCTCCCTGCGGAAAAATGCCCTGTACTATCTCATTATAAGGTCATGATACGTGAACACTTAGTTATCTCCCTGAATGAAAAATTATGGCAAACATGGCTCTTGGGAATTGTTTCATGATGTGGTTCGTCTGTACCACAGTGGTTTCTAACGTAAATGTTTGTTGGGATATTTTTGTTTCTCATTACTAATGTTGAAATGATTGGTGTGATGATGGTTTGTATCTTAAGTATCATGACCTAGTAGCTGATCTGTCAATTAGTAAGTAACTTAATTTGGAATCAACTGTGAGCCCAGTTGAAGCTCACAGCCTAATGTTTGTCAGCAAACCCCTCTCCCCAGCTTTGAATACAAGCTCAAACAATGTTTTTCTTTTTGCACAGGGGTTTGCACACAAATATGGTGGAGAGTGCTTTTGGGATTCTAGGCACCTTTTAAATGGCTGCTTAAAAGAAATTGAAAAAGTTAAACGAGAGAAGTGCCTGCTGACTCGCATTAGTGGGCATTTTGCTGATAACCAGTCTGGTATGAAGTGGTCTTCAAGAAGCTCCCAGAATGTTTGGGATTTAAGTCATGTGGATTATGCGATCAGAACTGGAACTGAGCGATAGAGCTTCAGAGAAACTTGTTGTTTACATTGGCAAGAAATCTTATCCAGCAAGAGGATTAAAATAAAACCATGACCAAAACAGTAAAGGGTGTGAAGATAATTCCCATTTGCTTATGAAATGAATACACCTCATAGCTAAAGAAATGGGGTTTTTTGAAATTTATATACTTGGCAATTATTGCCTTAATATTTATCTGATAGATATTTTCTTCTACAGAACCTGTTTTTTAATAACTTCCTATCAAGGGCTTCTTCGGAGGCCACAGGTGGTAAGACAGGTTTGGCAGAGGTGTTGGTGCGGAATATGCCCTCGGGAGGCCGCTCCGCCCTTCATATGCTCGGGTAGGCTAATTACAACCTCAGAGGAAGCCCCAAGGGCCTCACACTTGGCGCAGTCGCTTCCTAGCTTCTTTGCCACAGGATGGCTGGAAGCACGAGCCTACACTGGGATATGTAGGCTTTTTTCCCAGAGGAGTCGAAATGCCTTCACAAGTCACTTGTGTACTATGAAGTAGATAGGGCAAATATTAATTTCCCTTTTAAAATTAAGGGACTGAGTGGTGATTTAAAAGTGTATCATGTGAGATAGGTCCAGGATTAAACCTGAGGTATTCTCTCCTGATGTGTATCTCTTCAGATTATTTTAGGTGGGGATGATTTTATTTAACTGCCTTAGGAAAATAAGGAAAGGGGCAAACAAGAAAGAGAAGAAAAAATTGTATACAAGGCAGGGTGTGGCTGTTTGACTACATAGTCATCACTCCTGTTTGTGTTGACTTTTGATAACTTAAGTGGGAAACATGTGGTCTCTATTTATGTGGTTCCTATGAATCACAACAGCATTACGTGAAATGTGTCACACCTTAAATAACTTGCTAATGAGTAAGGTTCAAAATTATAGAAAAACTGAATGAGTAATTGTTAGATTAGAACTACTAAACAGTTCTTTTAAAATACTGTAATTTCTTTCAGAATACTGAATTCTCAACATAAGAATGAGTTCACATTTAAAGTGTGATTTATTCTTATTTTTAAACAACCTACTTTCACTATGTTTTGAGATGGTTTGTAGATTTATAACTTTTGCAATGTTGTCAGAAGACAGAAAGTAATTTAATAACTCAGTTTCTTCCTTTAAATAAAGGATGTTGCATCTGGCAAAACAGACATTTATCTGCTAAGATGCAGCTTCTTACTTTCATTCTACAGATGGATAGTAACAGGTAATAATAACAGCTAGCATTTGTGAGTGCTTGTCTTGGGTCAGGCAAGTGCTAAGTGTTTCATGCATATTATCTCATTTAATTCTCACCATAACCCTTTGAGATGGGTACATTTAATCTCCATTTCACAAATGGGATAACTAAGATGTTATGTAGCTTGTTCAGAATTGCAGGTAGAAAGTGGCAGAGCAGGGCTTTAAACCCAGGCATCCTAATTCCAGTGCCCCTACTTGGCCTCAACAGGCCACCATTGACATCATGTTGTGACCTTAAGGTAAGTAGCTGAGGCAGCCTCTGTAGACCTAATAGTCCTGCTATAAAATTGTGCTTTCTTTTTTTGGTTTTAAACTCATAAAAAATTTTTGTTTTATTTTAGGGGGAGTCTTAGGTGAGTTTACAATTATATGGTATAAGAGTTGCTAATTAAAAAATCAGATTTTTCGAGTTATTGAGGTTGGAGTAGCTAGTATGTGCAGTACAAATGTTTTATAATGCTTGTGAAAATGCCCACAGAACTGTTAAAACATTTAAAGAGAACTTATCTTATACTGAAATTTAGAGTATTATATTTTTATTATCTTCCTCTGTCTCTCACACCTACACCCATGCACACACACAGTCATTATGTGTTAACACATCTTTTTATCCAGGAAAATTGGATGAAAAGATTAACTGAACATTTTTATTTACTGATCTACCTTCTATACCCTTAACAGAGGAGGATTATTTTTGAAGCTGTATTATGTTGTAAAATACCCTAATTTTAAAATATCTAAATAGATTGAAGATAATTTAATTTTTGTAGCCTAAAAATACTTTAGAGTCTAATGTAGTTGAGTTACTCTTTTACTGAGTACTTATAAAATGCTGTTGGTTTTTGGTGTCTGTTTCATGTGGGAGGTTTTGTAACTTTCTAGAAAGTTAAACGTTCTGAGCCTCGAATTTCATACTAGTGAAATGGAGATAATAATAAGGATTATTAAATTTAAGATTGTGTGGATTGCATAGATAATAAGAAAAATTACCTAGGACAAAAACTGGTGTCAGCCTCTTCTATTCTTTGTTCCTTTAGGTATGGGAGATTTAGTAAATTGACCTAAATCTGATTGGTTTTGGCTTCTTCTGAATGTTGTTCTTTTATATTAATAAATTTATTTATAAATTTATATATAAACACCTGTAGTCTTTAAAGAATATAAACAAAAGATAACATTAAAAATAAGTGTAATTCTACAACTTAGGAATAATTACTGTTAGTATATTTATTCCATGTTTACTTATGATACATTCTTATAGAGTTATAGAAATTGGGATTATACTCCCAATTTTTCATAAACTTTCCCAATTTTTCATAAATTGCTTTTTAAATAATATTCTTTACAAGTAATAAATCCACTTTTATGACATGAATTTCAATTTCATGTCATTTTCTGTTTTATGGCTATATCATAATATAATCAAGTTCTTATTGCTGGGCATTCAGGTTATTTGTAATTGTTGCTATTTATTCTACAGAACGCCATGAAACAATTCTGTTCTGTGTGCCTGTCCTGTTGTCCTAGTATAAATTCCTAGATCCTGCACCTAGGAGAATATGCATATTTAAGACTTCTGATACATACCACAAATTACCTTCTAGAATTGTGGTAACATTTTATATTACCTTCAGTGGTGTACAGGGCATGCCAGATTGCCACGTCTTCAAAATATAAGCTATTATTTAAAACCTTTGTTTAGTTTTTATATTGTCTTTTTTTAAAAAAATATATAAATACTGTACAAATGGAATTTGGTCTTTTATCATCATTATTTAGATTTTGGAAAGTACGTAAGTACAAGAGTACATCAATATTTAGATATATGAGGGGGTCTTCAGACCCCCTCATATATCTACACATGATCTTGCCTTTCTATCATCTTTTTGGGGGAGATGAACCATTATGGATAGTTGGGTTTTCTGAATAGCTTTGAATATTCCATTTTGCCCACTTTATTAAAGGATATTCTAAATATAACTAACTCAGCCATGTCTATATGATGCGGAGGTGTGTTTCTGAGGATTAATTGTTGGAGTATTGTCAGAGTGGTAACTTCAGGGTTGATGCATATAAGGAGGTTTGGCATGTACTGTTTAACCACCCTCAAGAACTTGATTGCACATTTCAGCCACTACAAACTAATAAGCAGGTGATATTTTCCCTGCTTCAGGTGAGCACACTGGGGTGCAGAGAGGTTATGTAACTTGCTTAAGATCACACAGTTATTAGGTAGTGAATGTGGAATTTGAACTTGCTTTGGTCAGACTTCAGTTCTTTTTCTTTCCATTTTGCCACTTGCTACATGCTGCCCTCTTGATTGGCCCTTTCATTGCTGTTGACTGTCATTCTTCACTGCTATCCGGTGTCTGCAGGACACAGCCCTTCTTTCTTGTAAATCACTGCTTTGAATCTATATTGATTTGGGAATGGAATTGCCAGATTATAAGTGTCAGTGGCTCTGAGGGGCTTTGCTATGACTAGAGAGAATGGGCTTTAGCATCTGCGTTGGATGTTTCTGGGCCTATTTCATGCTTTTTGGCTATGCGTAGGAGTTTCCAGATGAAGGACATGTTACAACGTTTTCTATAGTTGAGATCTGCACTCCCCTTGAGTTTGTTTTGGAACAATTTGGGGAAAATTCAAAAGAGTTTCTCTTGCACAGGTTGGTGGGATAATCCAGGGTCCTTTCAGTTATTTTCAGAAGAATATGCCATTCTCTTTGGGTATGTTTAACTGTGCTTTAAACATTACATTTTTCTTTTTTATTTATTTATTTATTATACTTTAAGTTTTAGGGTACATGTGCACAACGTGCAGGTTAGTTACATATGTATACATGTGCAATGTTGGTGTGCTGCAGCCATCAGCTCGTCATTTAACATTAGGTATATCTCCTAATGCTATCCCTCCCCGCTCCCCCCACCCCACAACAGGCCCCGGTGTGTGATGTTCCCCTTCCTGTGTCCATGTGTTCTCATTGTTCAGTTCCCACCTATGAGTGAGAACATGCGGTGTTTGGTTTTTTGTCCTTGCGATAGTTTGCTGAGAATGATGGTTTCCAGCTTCATCCATGTCCCTAAAAAGGACATGAACTCATCATTTTTTATGGCAGCATAGTATTCCATGGTGTATATGTGCCACACTTTCTTAATCCAGTCTATGATTGTTGGACATTTGGCTTGGTTCCTAGTCTTTGTTATTGTGAAAAGTGCCGCAATAAACATACGTGTGCATGTGTCTTTATAGCAGCATGATTTATAATCCTTTGGGTATATACCCAGTAATGGGATTGCTGGGTCAAATGGTATTTCTACTTCAAGATCCCTGAGGAATCACCACACTGACTTCCACAATGGTTGAACTAGTTTACAGTCCCACCACCAGTGTAAAAGTGTTCCTATTTCTCCATATCCTCTCCAGCACCTGTTGTTTCCTGACTTTTTAATGATTGCCATTCTAACTGGTGTGAGATGGTATCTCATTGTGGTTTTGATTTGCATTTCTCTGATGGCCAGTGATGATGAGCATTTTTTCATATGTCTTTTGGCTGCATAAATGTCTTCTTTTGAGAAGTGTCTGTTCATATCCTTTGCCCACTTTTTGATGGGGCTGTTTGTTTTTTTTCTTGTAGATTTGTTTGAGTTCATTGTAGATTCTGGATATTAGCCCTTTGTCAGATGAGTAAGTTGCAAAATTTTCTCCCATTCTGTAGGTTGCCTGTTCACTCTGATGGTAGTTTCTTTTGCTGTGCAGAAGCTCTTTAGTTTAATTAGATCCCATTTGTTAATTTTGGCTTTTGTTGCCATTGCTTTTGGTGTTTTAGACATGAAGTCCTTGCTGATGCCTATGTCCTGAATGGTATTGCCTAGGTTTTCTTCTAGGGTTTTTATGGTTTTAGGTCTAACATTTAAGTCTTTAATCCTTCTTGAATTAATTTTTGTATAAGGTGTAAGGAAGGGATCCAGTTTCAGCTTTCTACATATGGCTAGCCAGTTTTCCCAGCACCATTTATTAAATAGGGAATCCTTTCCTCATTTCTTGTTTTTGTCAGGTTTGTCAAAGATCAGATAGTTGTAGATATGCGGCATTATTTCTGAGGGCTCTGTTCTGTTCCATTGGTCTATATCTCTGTTTTGGTAGCAGTACCATGCTGTTTTGGTTACTATAGCCTTGTAGTATAGTTTGAGGTCAGGTAGCGTGATACCTCCAGCTTTTTTCTTTTGGCTTAGGATTGACTTGGCAATGCAGGCCCTTTTTTGGTTCCATATGAACTTTAAAGTAGTTTTTTCTAATTCTGTGAAGAAAGGCATTGGTAGCTTGATGGGGATGGCATTGAATCTATAAATTACCTTGGGCAGTATGGCCATTTTCATGATATTGATTCTTCTATCCATGAGCATGGAATGTTCTTCCATTTGTTTGTATCCTCTTTTATTTCATTGAGCAGTGGTTTGTAGTTCTCCTTGAAGAGGTCCTTCACATCCCTTGTAAGTTGGATTCCTAGGTATTTTATTCTCTTTGAAGCAATTGTGAATGGGAGTTCACTCATGATTTGGCTCTCTGTTTGTCTGTTATTGGTGTATAGGAATGCTTGTGATTTTTGCACATTGATTTTGTATCCTGAGACTTTGCTGAAGTTGCCTATCAGCTTAAGGAGATTTTGGGCTGAGATGATGGGGTTTTCTAGATATACAATCATGTCATCTGCAAACAGGGACAATTTGACTTCCTCTTTTCCTAATTGAATGCCCTTTATTTCCTTTTCCTGCCTGATTGCCCTGGCCAGAACTTCCAACACTATGTTGAATAGGAGTGGTGAGAGAGGGCATCCCAGTCTTGTGCCAGTTTTTAAAGGGAATGCTTCCAGTTTTTGCCCATTCATTATGATATTGTCTGTGGGTTTGTCATAGATAGCTCTTATTATTTTGAGATACGTCCCATCAATACCTAATTTATTGAGAGTTTTTAGCATGAAGCGTTGTTGAATTTTGTCAAAGGCCTTTTCTGCATCTATTGAGATAATCATATGGTTTTTGTCATTGGTTCTGTTTATATGCTGTATTACGTTTATTGATTTGCATATGTTGAACCAGCCTTGCATCCCAGGGATGAAGCCCAGTTGATCATGGTGGATAAGCTTCTTGATGTGCTGCTGGATTCGGTTTGCCAGTATTTTATTGAGGATTTTTGCATTGATGTTCATCAGGGATATTGGTCTAAAATTCTCTTTTTTGGTTGTGTCTCTGCCAGGCTTTGGTATCAGGATGATGCTGGCCTCATAAAATGAGTTAGGGAGGACTCCCTCTTTTTCTATTGATTAGAATAGTTTCAGAAGGAATGGTACCAGCTCCTCCTTGTACCTCTGGTAGTATTTGGCTGTGAATCCATCTGGTCCTGGACTTTTTTTGGTTGGTAAGCTATTAATTATTGCCTCAATTTCAGAGCCTGTTATTGGTCTATTCAGAGACTCAATGCCGTCTGTCACCCCTGTCTTTGACTAGGAAAGGGATTTCCCGGACCCCTTGTGCTTCCTGGGCGAGACGATGCCTCGCCCTGCTTCGGCTCACGCTCGGTGCGCTGCACCCCCCCTGTCCTGCACCCACTCCCCAGTGAGAGGAAGCCAGTACCTCAGTCGGAAATGCAGAAATCACCCGTCTTCTGCGTCGCTCACGCTGGGAGCTGTAGACTGGAGCTGTTCCTATTTGGCCATCTTGGCTCCACCCCCTACATTTTTCTTATGAGGCTGTGGGCTCCCTGATGGAAGAGCTGCCTGCCTTCAAAACGTGTTTTTTCTTTCGGTAAATTCCTACCCAGCATTCAGGTAATGCCTGTAACAGACACTCAGCCTTTGTTTAAGTAAAGCAGCAGTGCAGCCCTTCTGTAGATTAATGGCAAGTATAGGAAGGATCTACCTCTTCCTGAGTTTGAGCATGTTGCCTCCTGGCCCAGGCTCCTGTCCAAATGTATAGACCAACCTCTGAGAAACACAACCATTATTTTGTCAGTTAACAGATATCATGTCTAGCTGCAGCGATGTTGGGCACTGTGGAGAGATGCAGAATGAAGATACATAGGGATTCTAGGGGGACCGTGAAGCTGGCAGTAGTGAGGATAGCTGGGGGATGGTGGTAAAGGTCCCTTCGTTGAGCCCTGGAGCCAACCTGGGATTTAAGATTGGTGACTTTCCAGTTCAGGATATCAGAAATGTATTTCTTTCTGAAGTGGCAGGTGGAGCAGGGACTACTCCTGTTTTTACGTGGTGGCTGCATCTCCAGGACAGCTGGTGTCACTGCTGTTGGTCCCTGCCCTCCCCTTGAGCTGGGACTCAGTCCCAGGGGTTGTTCTTAGGGCAGCTTTTTTCCCACTGTGACCTTCATTTTCTCTGCTACTATTTCCCCTGTGGAATCCCCTTTTCTATCCCAGCCACCTCCCCCTTCAGAGAGAGAATCTAGAGATTTTTCTAGAGGTTTCACCAACATTATTGGTGGTGGTAACTGCATGTGCCTGTTCCTTTGTAATTCCTTAAGTTGGGAATTGTCTGTTTAAAATATTCACCATCTCACCTCTCTTTCTTTTGTCTCTCTGCGCCAGGATTTAATAGTCTTCTCCCCAGGATGTTTCAATAAATGGCTCTTTACATCAATTAGGACGATTTCATAAATAAGTTTAAGAAGTGTCATGCCCTCTGCTGTTTAGCTTTGTAATGAAATTTGAGGAATATAAAGATGGAATTGAAATTAATGATAGTGTATTCAGTGTCGTTGGTATCTTGAGTTTCTATCTTATACTGTTTTTATTCATTCTTAGTAGAATAGATCACCCATAGGTTTTTAAAAAATATATAAAATATGTTGAAAATTTAGTTTAGCTCTTTTGTGTATCATCCAATAAAATGATTATATTACTGAAAACACTCATTGTAATTTTTTCCTGCATATATTTGTCATACTAAAATGGCTAAACTATCTCTTTGTAATATAAAACAGACAGTACATATTCCTATAAGGAACAGATTATAGGATATAACAGTCTATATATGCAAATCCTTCAAGTATAACATTAAATGCATATTAATTAATCTAATACTGAATTGGACTTGTGTGCTATCCCTGCTTAAGAGAAAATTAACAACCAAACCTATCTTTCAGGCAGTAACAGAGAAGAATTTTGAAACAAAAGATTTTCGAGCCTCTCTAGAAAATGGTGTTCTGCTGTGTGAGTAAGTATTTAAAGTATTTAAAAAATAATTCAAAAGCAAAGATATGTGTGTGTGTGAGTGATGAGGTGTTTGGCTCCTCCCATGGCCACCGTAGTCACAGATATGTGTTCTTGGTCACAGGTGAGATTTGATCCCTGCAAATTGATACCTCACAATACGAGACAGTAGGAAGAAGGGGTTATCAGTCTCTGTATCTAAAGATAGCACTGGTAAAATATATATTATTTTTAATTAGTAAACAAGAAAGATTCTATTGCATGGTGGGCCAGTGGGGGGTGGGTGATTGAGAAGGAAGCCTTATGACATGTTACCATTGATCTCTTAGTCTGAATATTCTAATGGGTAGAATTGCCTGGTTTGGAAGTTAATACACAAAATCTTTGCTTCATCAATAAATCATGATGATTGGAGTGGTAGATTTTTCCTTTAAGCTTTAAGTGGAGTCATTACATTACCAAAATCAATTTGAGTTGTGGACCATTCATTCAATTAATAGACACCATTGAGAACCACACCCCAGACTTTGCTTACAAAGAAGTAAGATAGGCTAGTACCATGATTGATAGTATAAGGCCTACATTGTATGTGTAGTGTAATATTTTGTTCCCCAATGGATGCATAGTACAGTTAGTCAAGTATATGAACTTTGGGAATAAGGGAGAGGCAGGCCTGTGAGGCATAAGGATGAAATCCTGGGTGAAGGTAGAGGTTGCAGAAGCGAGCAAATAAATTCTAAGAATGTACTTGAGTACTCACCCACATTTTTGAAAGCACTTAATTATTTCAATCTAGACACTTATCGCACAGGTATTTATGCTATCTGTCCACATGTAAGCAGTGAGAGTGTATACACTAGTACTTAGAGATTTTGATTATCCTTTTGAAGGAGTTGTTTGCAGCAAAAGGTCTGGAGTCAAAGGGCCTAGGTTAGATTTCTTGCTCCATTATTTTTGGACCTTTGAATAAGTGACCTCACATCTTTGAACATTTGACCAAGTGATTTAACATTTGAGCCTTATTTTCTCATCGGTAAAGTAGAGATCAAGGTATCTGATGTGCCTAATTCACAGAGTTGCTGAGTTCAACAATATATATTTTAAGGTTTTTATAAACGATCAAACTTTGTATATATACAAGTTGTTGCTAGATGATGGGCATGTAAATAACAGTCTATCTTGTCAGCTCTGTTGGCAAGTGTTCAAAGTTCTTTGTCTTAAGGTGATATTATTAATTTTGTTCCATATGAAGTTGCTGATATTTAACCATTTGTGACCTAAAGAAGTGTCAATTTCGTGTGGTTTCACCTAACGTATAGGTGACATGTATAGGACACACATGTGAATAAGGGCCAGGAATAAAGTTCAAAGTGTGTTTCTTGTCGTCTTCCAATGTCACATTCATTGGAATGTGAATAGTGTTTCAATTAGTTTGACAATGAGTCAAATAGTGTTTAAGCTAATTTAAGTAGACCACATAGCCCAACTGGTCACTAATGGGAAGTTACTTTATCTTAATTTGAAAACAGTATGATTTAAATGTACTCTAGTAATGTTTAGAAGATGGAGGGGAAACATTGCCTATTAGAAAGAGGCATGTGACCTGCAAACTACTTTAGCTATTATTTAAATGTTTGCAGTAAAAAAAAAAAGCCATCAACCATACACCCCACAAGTCTAAATAGGAATTGGGTAGGTTTGTGCCTTCAAGGAAGTGTGCCTATGAAGCACGGAGTTTCTTTTTAGATTTACAAAAGCATATATCTCGAATATATGATCTTTCAAAGAAGTAATTTTGTAGGTTATATATTTCCAGTAATGAACTATTGCCCATAATATTTTAGGGGTCCCACTTTTGGGGCATTGACCCCATAAATAGATCATTAAACATGTTTGAGAATGACTACCAGGTTTTGATTTAAAATGCAACTTATGCACCAGCCTGGGCTCTGAATGATGAGAAGTGATTTCCAAAAGCTATACCCAGCCTGAAAAGATCTGCATAGTGTGACCAAGGAGGATATTCAGAGTTGATGAAAAACTATTGTGAGCACAAGCAGTACAGGTTAGAATAAATATGTAATTTCTACCTTAATGGCAACAGCAAACATTTGGATGAATGTTTAGAGATATATTGGCTTTTTAAAAAGTCACTTTAATTCTCAGACTTCCAAAGCTAATTCTAATATTGTTTTCTAATTGGAATTTTTCTAATTTGGATTTTGTGCATTGCCACATAAGTCTAATCAGTCTCTTAGTACCCAGTATTCTTTAAATTAATGTTTCCCAAAAGTAGCTTAAGTAAATCTGAAGCCATGGTAATCAGCAATTGTAATTTACTGTGGGACACCAAAGTCCTGCATAATATTTTTATTAAAAAATCTTTCTCTAAATTGTGAATCACGTTGTTCATAGTCACTGTTTGATGACGACACATTCATCTAAAAGCTGTGGTGTTAACGAATAAAAAGCCCAGATAACCATATTTAGTATGAAACCTGTAACTGAGGAAAGCCTGGCTGGTTGCACTCTGAAATGATTAAGCAGGCACTGCTGTTTGTGGCCACATCCACCTGTGTTATATATAATGCCTGAGAGGAAAACAAAGTCAGCTGTTCAGAGATCTGGTATTACAAGCCCTGACTTTTTAATTAGTGGTAAATATAGTAAGCTATCTGTCTTTGAGGATATTTTACCCACTAGAGATCCCAAGTTTTAGGTGAAATATGATTAGGATATTTTTAAAACCTGAATTCATTTTCGTACAGGAAAAGGCTGACTTCTATCTGGCTCACTGCCAGAATCATATTTCTTGTGAAATACAGGTTCTGCTTGTTGCCTATTAGAAACCTCTAGGCATTCTCATTCATTACCACCATTAAAGATTTTCTTAATATTTCATCCAGTAATTTCAGCAATTTTAAAAAAATCCATTAGTAGTACTCTTTCCTTTTGAACTGGTGTTCTGAAATATCAAAGTCAAAAGTTCGAATAGCTTATAGCTTTCACCCAATTGGAAGTGTACTGACATTTCAGATAGTCTAAAGTGGGGATAAACCATGCACTGAGGTTTCAGACAAGATACACATTTGAGTAATGAGGATAGTTATATGCGTTCATTGCCTTTTAATCTGATTGACTATTGAAATTAGTATCTTCATGTTAGTCATTTTAGTGTTGTTTAGTTTGACTGTGGCATCTAGTGAGTTGGGATTTCATCAAGGAATACTCCCTTGATGAAAGTCTATGATTGTAGTCTCTCTTGGTTTTACTAAACAGTGAGATGGGAACACTGTCTGATATTTTTGCTTTTCTAATTAATAAAAGGATTGACAAGTTTTTATAAGGTGATTTTAGTTCCTTGTTATAATGTGCTATGAATTTTATTAATAGTGTTCATTAATCTGTCTTCTTTCTTCAGTATTTCTTAGTGTTCATGTGGACTGCCTTATTATATATATTTAAAAAATATAAAAGATGTATCACTTCATCAGTGTCCATGATCTTATTTTGCTCTGGGTTCTAGCAGAATTATTCCTCCTTTCCAAACATATTTGGTTGAGACATAAACAGCTAATGATATCAGTAATTTCCCAGTTACTCATCTTATGATGACAATCTTGGAAATATTCAAATGAAAACACTCTTTTTTTTTTTTTTTTCTCTGATGAAGAAAGAAGATTTGCTTGACGATAGTCTGATTGGGTGTGTCAGTGGTTAGTCAGTCTGTACCTCCCATCCCTGGAATGATCCCAAGTCTCTGCCACAGTCAGCTATGCATCAGAAGTTTATGCCTTTTTGAACACATGACTCACAGTAAGAACACTCTTCTCGGCCGGGCGCGGTGGCTCACGCCTGTAATCCCTGCACTTTGGGAGTCCGAGGCGGGCGGATCATGAGGTCAGGAGATCGAGACCATCCTGGCTAACATGGCGAAACCCCGTCTCTATTAAAAATACAAAAAATTAGCCGGGTGTGGTGGCGGGCGCCTGTAGTCCCAGCTACTCGGGAGGCTGAGGCAGGAGAATGGCGTGAACCTGGGAGGCGGAGCTTGCAGTGAGTGGAGATGGTACCACTGCACTCCAGCCTGGGCAACAGAGTGAGACTCCGTCTCAAAAAAAAAAAAAAAAAAACACACAAACAAAAAAACACAACTCTTCTCTCACTGTCACCAGGTCTTCTTTTTCCTTTCTTGTATCTTGGAAAGACAGGAGCAAGATATTCACCCCTATCGGTGTTCCTATTTGTATCAGCCATGTGACCACAACAGTATCTGCCTAAAAATACTGTAATAATTTATTAAAGATTATATATATACATATTCAATAGAAAAATATATATTTTTTTATTTTTACAAATACTACTGTTTACTCTGGGACACTCAGATGATCATTTTAAGGCACGGGGTAAGATAGAGAACTTTGTCACTTGTCATTCCTGCCAAGAGAGCTCTATCTTTTTGTTGGAGTTGGAGATCTCCACCCACACATGGAGTGCCGGTGACATGGGTAGGCCCCCTGGGGCTTCCATGCAGTGCTCCATGGGAAGCCCAGAGGCTTTCATGTAGTGGGAAAGGCTTTTTTTCTTAGAGGTGTTTCTGGTTTTGAATTTCCTGAGGAGGACAGTTGCTTACATACAGTGCTCCAGCATGCCAACACTATTAACCCTGATCTGTTTTTACAGCCTTTTGAAATTTAGTGAAAACTGTTTTTCTTCACTTTCAAGTAATATAAGCTTTGCAGTTTCCATGTTATGTGATAGCCCAGCAATAGGCAAACAATGGTGTAAGGGTTCAAGTTCATAAAAATGAATGTAAAAATTTTAATCTGTTTTCACTTAATGGCAGTATTTTATGGTTGGCATTTGCATGCCTTTTTAAGCATCATGGTTCGTTTCACCTGTGATGTAATATCTGTGTCTAGCAAAAACATGATTTTTTGTTTCAAAGAAAGAGTATGTCAAGTTGAAAGTCAGCTTGGCAAACATGAACTTAAAAATTCACTTCAGTTATGGTAGAGACACTCTAAAGACTCATTTCAAGTTTTGCAGAAGGTTTTTAATATTGTGGCCTTAAAGTTGAGGGTTGAAATCCTGGAGAGAGACTGATATATCACTCTTATTTACCTGAGGGATCGAGAGGAATTTAGTAACATTACTTCGTAGTTAAATAGTACAGGAAGCCAGGTCCCTCCGTTAGATTCCTTTTGCTTTCTGTTGTTTTTGTTTTGAAGACTTTTTAAAAGAACAGTTTTGGGTTCACAGAAAAACTGAGGGGAAGGTACAGAAAGATCCCATATTTTCCATGCCCCCACATATGCACAGCCTCCCCCATTATCAACGTCCCCCACCAGAGGGGTACATTGGTTACAAATGATGGACCTACATTGACACATCATCATCACCCAGAGTCCATGGTTTACATTAGGGTTCATTCTTGGTGTTGTACGTTGTATGGTTTTGGATAAATGTGTAATGACATGTACCCATCATTATAGTATCATCCAGAATTGTTTCACTGCTGTAGAAATCCTCTGTGCTCCTCCTATTCATCCCTCCCTTACCTCTAATCCCTGGAAACCACCAATCTTTACTGTCTTTATGATTTTGGCTTTTCCAGAATGTCACATAGTTGGACTCATACAGTGCATAGCCTTTTCAGATTGGCTTCTTTCACTGAGTAATATGCACTTACTTCCATGTCTTTTTATGGTTTGATAGCTCATGTCTCTCTCTTTTTTTTTTTTTTTTGAGATGGAGTCTCACTCTTGTCCCCCAGGCTGGAGTGCAATGGCGCGATCTCGGCTTACTGCAACCTCCGTCTCCTGGGTTCAAGCGATTCTCCTGCCTCAGCCTCTCGAGTAGCTGGGACTACAGGCACGCACCACCACGCCTGGCTAATTTTTGTATTTTTAGTAGAGACAGGGTTTCACCATGTTGGCCAGGCTGGTCTCGAACTCCTGACCTCAAGTGATCTGTCCGCCTTGGCCTCCAAAAGTGCTGGGATTATAGGCGTGAGCCACTGCACCCAACCAGTTCGTGTCTCTTTAGTGCTGAATAACGTTCTACTGTCTGGAGGTTCCACAGTTTGTTTATTCATTCATCAAATGAAGGCCATCTCGGTTGCTTCTCAGTTATGGCAATTATGAATAAAACTGCTATGAACATCCATGATATGGTTTGGCCCTGTGTCCCATCCAAATCTCATGTCAAATTGTAATTCCCAGTGTTGGGGGAGGGACCTGATGGGAGGTGATTAGATCATGGGGGTGGATTTCCCCCATGCTGTTCTCATGATAGTGAGTGAGTTCTCACGAGACCTGATGTTTTAAAAGTGTGTGGCACTTCCCCCTTCACTTGCTGTCTGTCCTTCTCTGCCACGGTAGGACCCGCTTGCTTCCCCTTCACCTTCTGCCACGATTGTAAATTTCCTGAGGCCTCCCAGTCATGCCTCCTGTTAAGCCTGTGGAATTTTGAGTTAATTAAACCTCTTTTCTTCATAAATTACCTAGTCTCAGGTAGTTCTTAATAGCAGTGTGAGAATGGACTAATACAATCCATGTGCAGTTTTTTGTGTAAATGTAAATTTTTAGCTCCTTTTGGTAAATACCAAGGAACATGATTGCTGGATCATATGGTAAGAGTATATTTAGTTTTGTAAGAAACTGCCAAACTCTTTCAAAATGTCTGTACCATTTTGCATTTCTACCAGCAGAGAATGAGAGTTTTTGTTGTTCCACGTTGTTGTCAGCATTTGGTGTCGTCCGTGTTCTGAATTTTGACCATTCTAATAAATGTGTAGTGGTATCTCATTATTTTAATTTACATGTCCCTGATAACATATGATGTGGAGCATCTTTTCATGTCCTTATTTGTCATCTGTGTGTCTTCCTTAGTGAGGTGTCTGTTAAGGTCTTTGGCCCATTTTTTAATCAGATTTTCTTTTTGTTGACTTTTTAAGAGTTCCTTGTATATTTTAGATAAGAGTCCTTTTTCAGATATGTCTTTTACAAATATTTTCTCTCAGTCTGTGGCTTGTCTTTTTATTCCCTTGACAGTGTCTTTCACAAAGCAGATATTTTTAATTTTAATGAAGTCCAGTGTGTCAATTATTTCTTTTACGAATTGTGCTTTTTGTGTCTTGTCTAAAAAGTCATTGTCAAACCTAAAGTCTCTAGACTTCCCCCTGTGTTTTCTTCTAGGAGTTTTAATAGTTTTTGGTTTTATATTTAGGTCTGTGATCCACTTTGAGTTCATTGTTGAGAAGGGTGTAAGGTCTGTGTCTAAATGCCGTTTGCCTTTGATGTGACATTGGGAAATTTTCTACTACTCAGTGAAATCCATTAGTGCTATAATTATTGAGGGTCTCAGAATAAGAGGTATCTGCCCTGAGACTATTCAAGCTTTGCTAGACTTACTTCAGGATGCTTCAAGCACAACAGTGAGGCTATATAATAAAGTTCCATCATAAGAAAGTGATGACTATAAATTACATTGGTACTGACGTTGCTGTTGCACACACTTTCCCATCTTAGCATTTACTGTTAACTTTTACTGTGTGTTGTAGGTAATTCAGCAGTATTCAAAATTACTACCATAGAAATTCTAGAAATTAACATCAATTTTACTAGCAATCTTTGAAAATATTAAAGTTATCATAAATATTTATATTGAATGCTTTTAGACTTTTAAATTATATATACTGGTTATTTTACTCATGGACATGTGATTACTTATTTTAAAATATTGCAGCTTATGAATTTAAATAAAAGTTATTAATTTAAAATTTTAGTAAGGCATTTACTTAATTAAGATAACCAGTCCAAGTTAATGTATCTGATAGTTTACTCTTTTGATCAACATTGACAATAAGTAGAGAATATCAAGGTTTGACTTTTCTGGCAACAAAAAAATACTAGGGAGGAGTGTTGTTGGTAAGAGCAAAAAGCAATTTCTAGCATTTGAAAGCAGAGGTAAAATGTTTAAAAATTTCTTTATAAAGAAGATAGAGATTTTGAAGAATTTGTTTGATATTTCACAGAAATATTTCTGCATTAAAAACTGGGCAGTGGATTTTAATAAATATCTGTAAAGCACCTATGAAATGCCAGGTTTTTTTTGCTAAGTGCTAGGCGATGCTGTTTGGAGAGGGAGAGGGTTGTCTGTGCCTCTGGTAGCTGGACCGTCTGATTGCTCTGCTGCTGATCCCAGCACATTGCCATATTTAGTACACATTAAAATGCTTAATGAGCAGAATTTGTGTTTAGAGGAAAAGTAAGCAAATTTTGTTTTAAACAAAACATTGTTTTGTTTAACAAAATTGGTTTTTCATTCCTGAGTTACTTCACTTAGAATTAATGATCTCCCATTCTGTCCAGGTTGCTGCAAATGCCATTTCATTCCTTTTTATGGCTGAGTAGTATTCCATGGTATATGCATATATACACCACATTTTCTTTATCCACTCATTGATTGATGGGCATTTGGGCTGGTTCCACATTCTTGCAAGTGCAAATTGCACTGCTATAAACATGGGTGTGCAAGTATCTTTTTCATATAATGACTTATTTTGATAAGTCATTGTTTAAACAAAAATCATTGTTTAAAATAGGCACATAGACCAATAGAACAGAATAAAGAACCCAGAAATAAAGCCAAGTATTTACAGCCAACTGCTCTTCCACAAAGCAAACAAAAACATAAAGTGGGGAAAGGACACCCTATTCAACAAATGGTGTTGGGATAATTGGCAAGCCACATGTAGAAGAATGAAACTGGATCCTCATCTCTCACCTTATACAAAAGTCAACTAAAGATGGATCAAAGACTTAAATCTAAGACCTGAGACCATAAAGATTCTGGAAGATAACATTGAAAAAGCCCTTCTAGACATTGGCTTAGGCAAAGACTTCATGACCAAGAACCCAAAAGCAAATCCAACAAAGATAAATAGATGGGACTTAATTAAATTAAAAAACTTCTGCACAGCAAAAGAAATAATCAGCAGAGTAAACAGACAACCCACAGAGTGGGAGAAAATCTTTGCAATCTATACATCTGACAAAGGACTGATATCTGTAATCTACAGGGAACTCAAACAAATCAAGAAAAAAACAATCCCATCAAAAGTGGGCTAAGGACATAAATAGACAATTCTCAAAAGAAGATATACAAATGGCCAAAAAGCATATGGAAAAATGTACAGCATCGCTAATAATCAGGGAAATGCAAATCAAAACCACAGTGTAATACCACCTCACTCCTGCAAGAGTGACCATAATCAAAAAATTAAAAAAAAAATAGTTGTTGGTGTGGATGCAGTGAAAAGGGAACAGTTTTACACTGCTGGTGGGAATGTAAACTAGTACAGCCACTGTGGAAAACAGTGTGGAGATTCCTTAAAGATCTGCCATTACTAGGTATCTACCAGAGGAAAATAAGTCATTATATGAAAAAGATACTTGCACACCCATGTTTATAGCAGCGCAATTTGCACTTGCAAGAATATGGAACCAGCCCAAATGCCCATCAATCAATGAGTGGATAAAGAAAATGTGGTGTATATATGCATATACCATGGAATACTACTCAGCCATAAAAAGGAACGAAATGGCATTTGCAGCAACCTGGACAGAATGGGAGATCATTATTCTAAGTGAAGTAACTCAGGAATGAAAAACCAAATATTATATGTTCTCACTCATAAGTGGGAGCTAAGCTATGAGGATGCAAAGGCGTAAGAATGATACATTGGACTTTGGGGACTCGGGGGAAAGAGTGGGGAGTGTTGAGGGATAAAAGACTACATATTGCGTGCAGTGGATACTCCTCAAGTGATGAGTGCACCAAAATCTTAGAAATCACTACTAAAGAACTCATTCATGTAACCAAACTAACCAAACACCACCTGTTCCCCAGAAATCCACTGAAATAAAAAAATAAAAGATTAAAAAAAAACCCAAAATCATCATTGCTCTTTAATTTGTGAACAAAATATAATGCCTTTATTATATCTTTAAAACTTTAGTTACTAATAGAAGTTTGATAATGTGAGGATGTATATTTAGAAAATGTATGTGACAGAAAGATATTAGAAATATTCATGTGTGAATGACTAATAAATCACAGGTTAAAAAGTTCATTCAGTGTATTGATATGTTGTTCAATGTCATCTTCCTTGTTCATTGTGAAAATCTTTGGAAATAGGAGCTCAAAAGGTGTCCATAAATTTTGTACCTCAGCTGAAAAGCTTTCTGATAAAGGGAAAAATGAGATTTGGCATTTAGAACTAGCTTCTGGACACTATTAGAAATAGAGCATCAAATTCTGTTCTCACTAAAGCTTTTATAACTGAGCCAGACATTATATTGAGCTTTATATACAGTTTTCTGAATTGAGTTATATTTAAAGTGGGTTATATTCACTGACAAGGCTTTTGAACAGAGCCAGCTCTCTAGTATCTGTCATTGTGCAACTCCTTTGAAGGGAGCGGACAATTTGAAAGTAAGGGAGGGGAGTGAGAAGAAAAGGAAGGAGGCAACTTGAGAGATGTCTTAGTCTGTTTGGGCTGCTGCTATATCAAGATACCATAAATTAGGTAGTTTATAAACAATAGAAATTGATTTATCACAGTTCTGGAGGCTGGGAAGTTCAAGATCATGGCACTGGCATATTTGGCATATAGTGAGGACCTGCTTCCTTCATAGACAGACTTCTCACTGCAACCTCTTGTTGTGGAAGGGGCAAGGCAGCTTTCAGGAGCCTCTTTTATGAGGGACCTAATCCCATTCATGAGGGTTCTACTCTCATGACCTAATCACCTTCCAGGGGCTCCACCTCCTAGTACTGTTACTTTCAGGGTTAGGATTTCAAAGTATGAGGTTTGGGAGGAATTCCAACATTCAGATCCTAGCAAGGGATGAGCTGAAGGAGAAGGAGAGAAATTGCAGGCCAAAACTGTGAATGCTCTGACTTGGGAACTGTCAGATTACTAGGTGCTTCCTTCTGGTTTTAATCCTACCAAAAGAGCAAGCCTCTGCTGTACTAACCAAGCACATAACCAGGTTTAGGCTCTGGCCTAGGGAAAGTCTTGGGGGAAGAGAGAGAGAATTCTACCTAGGGCTAGAGGGATGGAACAAGGGAATACAGGCTGAAAAAATGGCTCCTTGACTGATTCTAGATCCTAGTACATAGAGGTATCTGGAAGGTTATTATGTTATCTGAATCTTGAATAGAATCAGTTACCTGAAGCCAGTGTTACCTTAGGAATTCCATATGTGTGATTGAAGATTGCTTATTATGCAAAGAAGTTCTATTTGTAGAAGAGTATTTCCATAGATGATACTTGTTTTTGATTTGACATAAGGCTATGCCCCTAATCCTCTAGGCAGACTTAAATTTCACAGAAGTTTAGATTTTATAAGACCCATTGTTTTTCTCCTTAGAAGAACTATTCTAAAAGGGTTTCCTTTAATTTTATATGAAAATAATTTTTGATGATTCAAAATTTAATGGGTGTTCAGTATTTGCCAAGACTATATGTGTCTTTTCTCCGTCTTGTAGTCCTTAGAATTGTGACTACTAACAAAATAAAACAGAGTTTTCCTTTAGTGACTCAATTTTTTAGAGGCTACTTTGTGTGTTATTCAGATTATTGTTTTTTCCTCAGCTCATTTCCGTGTTTGCACATGTACTTGAAGGTTTAGGGTGGAAAAGGAATGCTAATCCATTGTGTGTCTGTCACTTCTAAGTAATAGCTTTGAACCTTCTGATGAGGGAAGTGTTAATTAACTCATTATTGGGAGACATCATTTATCTTTTCTATTTCCTTTACCTGTATCTCTTACTTCCCTTGGCTGACCAAATTGAGAGTAGGTTGTGCTATTATTAATTCCAGAAACTGTATTTTTTTTAAATGTACTTTCTCTTATGAAACCTGTAATATAAAAATGGTATGTGATATAAACAGGTTAACTGAATGACCTGGCCAAAGTCACCAGTGACTCAAATAGGTGGAGCAGAAATTTATGATACTCTTCCTCCTGCCAGACTTTCCTGACATTTTATATGTTGCCTCAGCTCATAATGGCCTCTAATTTATGTCATTTAAAGATCAAATTTCAAAATACACGTTACTATAAGTCAGTGCTGAGCTAGTGCTCACAAACTGCAAATAATTTCTTGATTTATACTTTCCAGAATTATGTTCCTATTCAGTAATGCTACAGTTACTAGTTCTTCTATGCATTGCAAGAATGCCACCAGTAACAGAAATATAGAAATACCTTGTTAATAGGGAACAACTAGAAGAATTAATTTGCAATTGTTATTTCTTATAAACTTACTCAATTCTTTTCTGACTCCTCAGCTAGTGATTAAGAAAAAAATCATGTGGACATGAAGGGAGAAAGCTTTGCTTTCTACTTGGCTTTCTGTGTACAAATCAGAAATTAGGTATCATGGAATAATTGTTCTAGGAAATTGCGTTGAGAGAATGGTATTATTAACTATATTAACTAACTTGTCTAATGATCTTTGTGTGTAGAAACCATGAAAACAGGAAAACATCTTTGTTCACCAAACTAGATCTTCATAAGCCACTGTTTTATAATTTTGAATCCTGTTGAACAACATTCTGTAGGTTATTAAATCAAGACTTTTGTCTTTTTTTATTTCCAGCAAACTCAAGTGTGTATATATAAGTCTTTGGAATGTTGAAGGAGTGACATTCCACAGGCTTCAGATTTTTTTTTTTTTTTGCTGCCCATTGTGCTAAGGAGACCAGTAAATTAAGAATGTTTAATGATTTCTCCTTTATTTGCTTTCTTTTTGGAGCTCTGTTACAGCCTAAAAAATTAGTTCTTGTGGATGGGTTTTTGAATAGGAAAATTAGTTTCAAGATATTGTTCTCTGACAGTGATTAATGATTAATTAACCAAGCTAACATTAATAGAAAAGCATTTTTATAGTATTAAATTTCTACGCAACCTGGCACAGTGTCAGTGAACAAATCAAGAAAAAAGAATTCATAATAATCTAGATTTAGAAGCAAAATCGTACTCAAGTTTCAGTTGTCAAAGCTGAGTTTCTTTTTTATAGAGTTGGCAGACATAGATATCTTTGCAGTGTCTTCCATATTAACTTAAACTGGTTCTGTTTAATCTAAAATACTAGATTCTGAGGTAACTTAGTTAATTTGGGGGAGTTCTGGTACATTGAATTTAATGTTTGCCCAGTCGTTCTGCTGCGGTAATAAAGCAATCAATTATGGACTTGAATGAGTTACCAATAAAAACTAGTTCACTATTTGTATGAGTCCAGCTCACCTTTTAAATGTGGCAAAATAATATGATTTTGAAGCTACCTTTAAAAATGATCAGTTTGAGAAAAACAATCAATGAAAACTATTAGTAGAAAATAGTATTCTTTGGGTGAAGTGAGATAAATTATGATGAAGAGATTCTTAAACTGGCAGTTGAAGCAGAACGAAATATTACTTTTCTTTAATGTGAAACTAACTCTTTGAAGGATGGCTTTGGATATAGAAGTGGGTCTGTGTCTCCACATAAAGGATATAGACTATGGAGAACAACTCACCATTGTGTGTGGTGCTCTTCTTTGTCTCTAGACTTGATATCTTGGTTATTTGCTTTTTGATGGGCTGTTGGCTCTCTGTATAACACATTGAGGGGAGGGAATAGTGATATATGTGATTTTTGAGAATGCTAACAAAAAACCTGATATTGGCATCTTGTAATTGCATCTGTTATTTATTTACTTTCAGTTTGATTAATAAGCTTAAACCTGGCGTCATTAAGAAGATCAATAGACTGTCTACACCAATAGCAGGATTGGTAAGTAGTAAATTATCTTCACAACTAAATTTATTTGTCTTTGAAATGTAAAGAGGTGGGCATAGGCAGATTTTTGTATCTGCAATTACCACTGAAATTAGGTTATGGTTTTTTTGCTGAAGCAAAGTGTGTTTGGTGATGTCCTCCTTTTATCTGCAGTTCCTTTCTCTGTTTCCCTTTTGCCTGGAGGCTTTTATTTATTTATTTATTTATTTAATAAGAAAAACTAGATGTATATTTAAATGGCACAAATGATATAGATGACATACTTGTGTTTTAGTGGTTACTAATTTCTAAACTAAATTGCTAATTTTAAAAATGAAAAATGCATGTATATAGTAGAAAATTTCAACATCAAAATATATACAAAGTACGAATACCTTCTACCTCAGATCCATGTTTCCTATTTTCTCCTGTATCATTTCAGAAAAATTTAATTTACAAATAAACATATAATATGTACTTATGTATATATAATTTTAGATAAATGGTAGCACATGTATTGCCTATACTTTGCTTTTTTCTCTTTTTTTATTATTATTATACTTTAAGTTTTAGGGTACATGTGCACAACGTGCAGGTTAGTTACATATGTATACATGTGCCATGCTGGTGTGCTGCACCCATTAACTCGTCATTTAGCATTAGGTATATCTCCTAATGCTATCCCTCCCCCCTCCCCCAACCCCACAACAGTCCCCAGAGTGTGATGTTCCCCTTCCTGTGTCCATGTGTTCTCATTGTTCAATTCCCACCTTTGAGTGAGAACATGCGGTGTTTGGTTTTTTGTCCTTGCGATAGTTTACTGAGAATGATGGTTTCCAGTTTCATCCATGTCCCTACAAAGGACATGAACGCATCATTTTTTATGGCTGCATAGTATTCCCTGGTGTATATGTGCCACATTTTCTTAATCCAGTCTATCATTGTTGGACATTTGGGTTGGTTCCAAGTCTTTGCTGTTGTGAATAGTGCCGCAATAAACACATGTGCATGTGTCTTTATAGCAGCATGATTTATAATCCTTTGGGTATATACCCAGTAATGGGATTGCTGGGTCAAATGGTATTTCTCGTTCTAGATCCCTGAGGAATCGCCACACTGACTTCCACAATGGATGAACTAGTTTACAGTCCCACCAACAGTGTAAAAGTGTTCCTATTTCTCCACATCTTCTCCAGCACCTGTTGTTTCCTGACTTTTTAATGATTGCCATTCTAACTGGTGTGAGGTGGTATCTCATTGTGGTTTTGATTTGCATTTCTGTGATGGCCAGTGATGATGAGTATTTTTTCATGTGTCTTTTGGCTGCATAAATGTCTTCTTTTGAGAAGTGTCTGTCCATGTCCTTCGCCCACTTTTTGATGGGGTTGTTTGTTTTTTTTCTTGTAAATTTGTTTGAGTTCATTGTAGATTCTGGATATTAGCCCTTTGTCAGATGAGTAGGTTGTGAAAATTTTCTCCCATTTTGTAGGTTGCCTGTTCACTCTGATGGTAGTTTCTTTTGCTGTGCAGAAGCTCTTTAGTTTAATTAGATCCCATTTGTCAATTTTGGCTTTTGTTGCCATTGCTTTTTGTGTTTTAGACATGAAGTCCTTGCCCATGCCTATATCCTGAATGGTAATGCCTAGGTTTTCTTCTAGGGTTTTTATGGTTTTAGGTCTAACGTTTAAGTCTTTAATCCATCTTGAATTAATTTTTGTATAAGGTGTAAGGAAGGGATCCAGTTTCAGCTTTCTACATATGGCTAGCCAGTTTTCCCAGCACCATTTATTAAATAGGGAATCCTTTCCCCATTGCTTGTTTTTCTCAGGTTTGTCAAAGATCAGATAGTTGTAGATATGCAGCATTATTTCTCAGGGCTCTGTTCTGTTCCATTGGTCTATATCTCTGTTTTGGTAGCAGTACCATGCTGTTTTGAGTTACTATAGCCTTGTAGTATAGTTTGAGGTCAGGTAGCGTGATGCCTCCAGCTTTGTTCTTTTGGCTTAGGATTGACTTGGTGATGCGGGCTCTTTTTTGGTTCCATATGAACTTTAAAGTAGTTTTTTCCAATTCTGTGAAGAAAGTCATTGGTAGCTTGATGGGGATGGCATTGAATCTATAAATTACCTTGGGCAGTATGGCCATTTTCACGATATTGATTCTTCCTATCCATGAGCATGGAATGTTCTTCCATTTGTTTGTATCCTCTTTTATTTCATTGAGCAGTGGTTTGTAGTTCTCCTTGAAGAGGTCCTTCACATCCCTTGTAAGTTGGATTCCTAGGTATTTTATTCTCTTTGAAGCAATTGTGAATGGGAGTTCACTCATGATTTGGCTCTCTGTTTGTCTGTTATTGGTGTATAAGAATGCTTGTGATTTTTGCACATTGATTTTGTATCCTGAGACTTTGCTGAAGTTGCTTATCAGCTTAAGGAGATTTTGGGCTGAGATGATGGGGTTTTCTAAATATACAATCATGTCATCTGCAAACAGGGACAATTTGACTTCCTCTTTTCCTAATTGAATACCCTTTATTTCCTTCTCCTGCCTAATTGCCCTGGCCAGAACTTCCAACACTATGTTGAATAGGAGTGGTGAGAGAGGTCATCCCTGTCTTCTGCCAGTTTTCAAAGGGAATGCTTCCAGTTTTTGCCCATTCATTATGATATTGTCTGTGGGTTTGTCATAGATAGCTCTTATTATTTTGAGATATGTCCCATCAATACCTAATTTATTGAGAGTTTTTAGCATGAAGGGTTGTTGAATTTTGTCAAAGGCCTTTTCTGCATCTATTGAGATAATCATGTGGTTTTTGTCTTTGGTTCTGTTTATATGCTGGATTACATTGATTGATTTGCATATATTGAACCAGCCTTGCATCCCAGGGATGAAGCCCACTTGATCATGGTGGATAAGCTTTTTGATGTGCTGCTGGATTCGGTTTGCCAGTATTTTATTGAGGATTTTTGCATCAACGTTCATCAAGGATATTGGTCTAAAATTCTCTTTTTTGGTTGTGTCTCTGCCAGGCTTTGGTATCAGGATGATGCTGGCCTCATCAAATGAGTTAGGGAGGATTCCCTCTTTTTCTGTTGATTGGAATAGTTTCAGAAGGAATGGTACCAGTTCCTCCTTGTACCTCTGGTAGTATTTGGCTGTGAATCCATCTGGTCCTGGACTCTTTTTGGTTGGTAAGCTATTAATTATTGCCACAACTTCAGATCCTGTTATTGGTCTGTTCAGAGATTCAACTTCTTCCTGGTTTAGTCTTGGGAGAGTGTATGTGTCCAGGAATTTATCCATTTCTTCTAGATTTTCTAGTTTATTTGCGTAGAGGGTTTTGTAGTATTCTCTGATGGTAGTTTGTATTTCTGTGGGATCAGTGGTGATATCCCCTTTATCATTTTTTGTTGCGTCTATTTGATTCTTCTCTCTTTTTTCCTTTATTAGTCTTGCTAGCGGTCTATCAATTTTGTTGATCCTTTCAAAAAACCAGCTCCTGGATTCATTAATTTTTTGAAGGGTTTTTTGTGTCTCTATTTCCTTCAGTTCTGCTCTGATTTTAGTTATTTCTTGCCTTCTGCTAGCTTTTGAATGTGTTTGCTCTTGCTTTTCTAGTTCTTTTAATTGTGATGTTAGGGTGTCAATTTTGGATCTTTCCTGCTTTCTCTTGTGGGCATTTAGTGCTATAAATTTCCCTCTACACACTGCTTTGAATGTGTCTCAGAGATTCTGGTATGTTGTGTCTTTGTTCTCGTTGGTTTCAAAGAACATCTTTATTTCTGCCTTCATTTCGTTATGTACCCAGTAGTCATTCAGGAGCAGGTTGTTCAGTTTCCATGTAGTTGAGCGGTTTTGAGTGAGTTTCTTAATCCTGAGTTCTAGTTTGATTGCCCTGTGGTCTGAGAGACAGTTTGTTATAATTTCTGTTCTTTTACATTTGCTGAGGAGAGCTTTACTTCCAACTATGTGGTCAATTTTGGAATAGGTGTGGTGTGGTGCTGAAAAAAATGTATATTCTGTTGATTTGGGGTGGAGAGTTCCGTAGATGTCTATTAGGTCCGCCTGGTGCAGAGCCGAGTTCAATTCCTGGGTATCCTTGTTGACTTTCTGTCTCGTTGATCTGCCTAATGTTGACAGTGGGGTGTTAAAGTCTCCCATTACTATTGTGTGGGAGTCTAAGTCTCTTTGTTGGTCACTCAGGACTTGCTTTATGAGTCTGGGTGCTCCTGTATTGGGTGCATATATATTTAGGATAGTTAGCTCTTCTTGTTGAATTGATCCCTTTACCATTATGTAATGGCCTTCTTTGTCTCTTTTGATCTGTGTTGGTTTAAAGTCTGTTTCATCAGAGACTGAGATTTCAACCCCTGCCTTTTTTTGTTTTCCATTTGCTTGGTAGATCTTCCTCCATTCTTTTATTTTGAGCCTATGTGTGTCTCTGCATGTGAGATGGGTTTCCTGAATACAGCACACTGATGGGTCTTGACTCTTTATCCAATTTGCCAGTCTGTGTCTTTTAATTGGAGCATTTAGTCCATTTACATTTAAAGTTAATATTGTTATGTGTGAATTTGAACCTGTCATTATGATGTTAGCTGGTTATTTTGCTCGTTAGTTGATGTAGTTTCTTCCTAGTCTCGATGGTCTTTACATTTTGGCATGATTTTGTGGCGGCTGGTATCAGTTGTTCCTTTCCATGTTTAGCGCTTCCTTCAGGAGCTCTTTTAGGGCAGGCCTGGTGGTGACAAAATCTCTCAGCATTTGCTTGTCTGTAAAGTATTTTATTTCTCCTTCGCTTATGAAGCTTAGTTTGGCTGGATATGAAATTCTGGGTTGAAAATTCTTTAAGAGTGTTGAATATTGGCCCCCACTCTCTTCTGGCTTGTAGAGTTTCTGCTGACAGATCCGCTGTTAGTCTGATGGGTTTCCCTTTGTGGGTAACCCGTCCTTTCTCTCTGGCTGCCCTTAACATTTTTTCCTTCATTTCAACTTTAGTGAATCTGACAATTATGTGTCTTAGAGTTGCTCTTCTCGAGGAGTATCTCTGTGGCGTCCTCTGTATTTCCTGAATCTGAATGTTGGCCTGCCTTGCTAGATTGGGGAAGTTCTCCTGGATAATATCCTGCAGAGTGTTTTCCAACTTGGTTCCATTCTCCCCGTCACTTTCAGGTACACCAGTCAGACATAGATTTGGTCTTTTCACATAGTCCCATATTTCTTGGACGCTTTGTTTGTTTCTTTTTATTCTTTTTTCTCTAAACTTCCCTTCTTGCTTCATTTCATTCATTTCATCTTCCATCACTGATACCCTTTCTTCCAGTTGATCGCATCAGCTCCTGAGGCTTCTGCGTTCGTCACGTAGTTCTCGAGCCTTGGCTTTCAGCTCCATCAGCTCCTTTAAGCTCTTCTCTGTATTGGTTATTCTAGTTATACATTCGTCTAAATTTTTTTCAAAGTTTTCAACTTCTTTGCCTTTGGTTTGACTTTCCTCCTGTAGCTCGGAGTAGTTTGATTGTCTGAAGCCTTCTTCTCTCAACTCGTCAAAGTCATTCTCTGTCCAGCTTTGTTCCATTGCTGGTGAGGAACTGCGTTTCTTTGGAGGAGGAGAGGCGCTCTGCTTTTTAGAGTTTCCAGTTTTTCTGCTGTTTTTTCCCCATCTTTGTGGTTTTGTCGGCTTTTGGTCTTTGATGATGGTGATGTACAGATGGGTTTTTGGTGTGGATGTCCTTTCTGTTTGTTAGTTTTCCTTCTAACAGACAGGACCCTCAGCTGCAGGTCTGTTGGAGTTTGCTAGAGGTCCACTCCAGACCCTGTTTGCCTGGGTATCAGCAGCGGTGTCTGCAGAACAGCTGATTTTCGTGAACCGCGAATGCTGCTGTCTGATCGTTCCTCTGGAAGTTTTGTCTCAGAGGAGTTCCCAGCCATGTGAGGTGTCAGTCTGCCCCTACTGGGGGGTGCCTCCCAGTTAGACTGCTCGGGGGTCAGGGGTCAGGGACCCACTTGAGGAGGCAGTCTCCCCGTTCTCAGATCTCCAGCTGCGTGCTGGGAGAACCACTGCTCTTTTCAAAGCTGTCAGACAGGGACATTTAAGTTTGCAGAGGTTACTGCTGTCTTTTTGTTTGTCTGTGCCCTGCCCCCAGAGGTGGAGCCTACAGAGGCAGGCAGGCCTTCTTGAGCTGTGGTGGGCTCCACCCAGTTTGAGCTTCCCAACTGCTTTGTTTACCTAAGCAAGCCTGGGCAATGGCGGGCGCCCCTCCCCCAGCCTCACTGCTGCCTTGCAGTTTGATCTCAGACTGCTGTGCTAGCAATCAGCAAGACTCCGTGGGCGTAGGACCCTCCGAGCCAGGTGTGGGATATAATCTCCTGGTGCGCCGTTTTTTAAGCCCGTCGGAAAAGCACAGTATTGAGGTGGGAGTGACCCGATTTTCCAGGTACCATCTGTCACCCCTTTCTTTGACTAGGAAAGGGAACTCCCTGACCCCTTGCGCTTCCCGAGTGAGGCAATGCCTCGCCCTGCTTTGGCTCATGCATCGTGCACTGCACCCACTGTCCTGCGCCCACTGTCTGGCACTCCCTAGTGAGATGAACACGGTACTGCAGATGGAAATGCAGACATCACCCGTCTTCTGCGTCGCTCATGCTGGGAGCTGTAGACTTGAGCTGTTCCTATTCGGCCATCTTGGCTCCTCCCTTATTTTAATTTTTAATTGCTTGTTTGTTTTGATGTTTGTGCCCTCAAACTTCATATGTTTCCTTTCCTGGCTTATTTCTTCCACAAATTGCATTTGTTCAGGGTCACCTTCTGAAGCTCAGCCCTGTGTGCGCTGTTTGCTGGCTACCACAATGGTGGCCCAGACTGCGAGATGTGCACCAGTTGTTATGTTTCTGCCACATGATGCTTGTGCATTACCCTCAGCCAGCACACAGATCCTAAGTGCATTTCCAAAATAGTCAAGGCCTGCTAACTCTGTTACTTTATGTAATAGGTTTCCCACCAAAGTCCTGTGTGAGGTTGCACAAGTCTCTGTCTTTCTCTTTGCCACAATAATATTACCCATAAAATGAATGTGATGGTTCTGTAGGTTCTTTCTAGCTTTCAAATCAGGATTTTGTGTATAAAATATACCCCACACTGTCCCAAGGTAGCTACTCAGACGGGGTAAGACATTTCAGAGGACAATAATAATGCGGGGCGTTGTCTGTGGAAATAATTTACAATCAAATACAAATGATGGATAATTTTTAAAATGTTAGAAATCCTTAAAAATCATTGCAATGATAGGAGTCTGTTAAGTCAACTTCAGAAAACTCTGAAGTTTAAGATAGCTAATAATTAGAATGTAAACAGAAACCTTACTATTTTTACACTATTCATGCTGTTTATAGTGCATTCAGGAAGCTTCTGTTTGACCATTCATGTGTTTACAGATGTTAAAGGCATGGGTAATTAAAGTTAGCAATACCAAAATTTCTGGATTTGCACAAGTTATGAAAATGTCATTAAATTCTTGATAAGGGTGTTGGTTGCAGAGTGTTTCTCAGAAAATATCTGTCTAGGAGAGAAGGAATGAAAAATTTTTAATAATTTTATTTCAAAATAAAATATACATAAAGTTCCCAGAGCAGCTGGGCTCAAATATTAATTCCTTCCTTCCTACCAAGTTGCCTCCATTCTATATCTATCATTAATAGACAGCTGACCTAATAATTTTAGTGGTTTCAAATTATATAGGCCGGGTGTGGTGGCTCACGCCTTTAATCCCAGCACTTTGGGAGGCCAAGGCGGGCGGATCACAAGGTCAGGAGATGACGACCATCCTGGCTAACACGGTGAAACCCTGTCTCTACTAAAAATACAAAAATTAGCCAGGTATGGCTCTGTGTGCCTGTAGTCCCAGTTGCTGGGGAGGCTGAGGCAGGAGAATGGTGTGAACCCAGGAGGTGGAGCTTGCAGTTAGCCGAGATCACGCCACTGAACTCCAGCCTGTGCGACAGAGCGAGACTCCGTCTCAAAAAAAAAAAAAAATTACGTGTGTGTGTGTGTGTGTGTGTGTGTATGTATGTACATACACATGGAGCTTTACAATTTAAATATTTCTACCCAAGTTTTATCCTGTACTTCTCTAAAAATCATTCTCATGCTGTGACTCTACTTGTCCCACCCCCACTCACCCCCTCTTCAGGAGGAGAGGGGAGGTTTGTAGGACCCTGGAGCTTGTGAGCCCTTTCCAAAAATGGGAGAACACCTAAGATTGGTGGGTTCTGTGTGTATTTGTATACACACACACACACACACAACTTTCTACTAGTAATACAGTGAGTCAGAAGAGGTTTGTTATTTAAGGAATAAAATGAAAAAAATTTAGTTTTTGAAGTCTGTTTTAAAATTTTTTTGAGATGGAGTCTCACTCTGTCGCTGGGCTGGAGAGCAGTGGGGTGATCTTGGCTCCCTGCAAACTCCGCCTTCTGGGTTGAAGCGATTCCCCTGCCTCAGCTTCCTGAGTAGCTGGGACTACAGGCGCGCGGCACCACACGCAGCTAATTTTTTTTTTTTTTTGTATTTTTTTTTAGTAGAGACAGGGTTTCACCACGTTGGCCCGGGTAGTCTTGATCTCCTGACCTTGGGATTTGCCCGCCTCGGCCTCCCAAAGTGCTGGAATTACAAGCGTGAGCCACTGCGCTTTCTTGGAGGAAATATTCAGTTTAATAAAACAAATAAGCTTTATATAAAAATGACTTATAAAATAACTTATTATTATATAATATACTTTTAATAGTAAGTTTCAATAGTATTGAAAATATTTTTTCAAATGGCTTGAATTAAATAGCTTATTGCTTTAATTTAAAATTGTCATTTCTTGGATCAATTACATGCATTTTAAAGCAAATTAGACTTTGATCTCAAACACCCTGCATATTTGGAATGCTCGAATTGTAGTGGTTTGTTGTTGTTGGCCAGTGGAGGTTTTATTCAATTTTCTGATCGTATGATTATATGAAAGCACAAATGTATTTTATTTTTAAATTCAAAGATCTCTCCAAGTATTTCTATTTCAAGCTTCAGAAATTCTATCTAGTTTAGATTTTATCTTTAGAAATTAAAGTGAACTGTGTTTCCGGTATATTAAATAGGAATATTTTTCGAATACAGGACACTGAGCATTTTCAATTGGCTATAGGAGCATAAGAGTGACCACAGCTGCAGAACTGGGCTAAGCCCAATTGGTTTAAAGTTGTCATCATGCCTCACTTGACTCCTTCTGATGCCTGTTTGTCAGGATGGTTATATTAAAACTTTTCAAAGCCTTAATTCCAAGTATGAATTAGGGCTCCAGCAGATGCCTGGAAGGGTTGTTATGAGGACTAAAAGGATAATATACAGATGGTCTGACATGCAGATAGTCAAAGAATGTTTGTTTTTTAAATAAATAATTGAATGCCTACTAGGTTGAAGATTTTTCTAGTTTACAGCTGCGTATCAGAGGAACAAAGAAGTCACAAACCATGATCTCAAAGAGTTTACATTCTAGTGAAGGAGGGACGACAAGGCAAATAAATTAGCAAACAAGCAAGAAAGCATCACGTAATAAATGTGCCACAGAGCATTACAGTGGACTGTGACATTTGCTGCATGTCCATGAGCAGTTGTAGGGGAACTGTGAAGACTGACCTCTAAGGATTCCTTGAGGAGGAGGATGTTAGAAGCCTTAGTTGACACTTCCAGAAGAAGAATGAATAATCTGAGCCAGACTTGTCATACTAGCCATTTTTGTGTTCACAGCATCTAGCATAGTGACTGATACATATAGGAGATCAAAGGTTTTTTAAAGAAATGAATGAACAAGATTTCCATTGTGAAAAATAATAGATTCTAGAATTGGGTCTTTGATGGGATAGTGCTATAGGTTGAATTGTTCCCCCCAACCCCAAAATTAAATATATTGAAGTCCTAAGCCCCAGTACCTTAGAGTGTGATCTTATTTGGGAATAGAGTTGTTGGAGATGATATAACTAGTTATAATGAGCTCATACTGGGGTAAGGAGGGCCCCTAATCTTAATATGACTGGTGTCCTTCTAAAAAGATGGCCTGTGAAAACACAGACACACAGGAAGAATGCCATATAAAGATAGGATTGGAGTGATGCATCTACAAGCCAGAGAACACCTGCGATTGCTGGCAAATCATAGATTTCATAGGGAGTGTGGCTTTGCTAACACCTTGATTTTGGACTTGTAGCATCCAGAATTGTAAGACAAAAAATCTTTGTTGCCTTAAGCCACCTGGTTTGTTCCAAAAGGAACAAAGTACCAAATATAGCTCTAGGAAATTAATACAGATAGGTACATGTTTTAGTTAATACCTTTTTTAAAAAAAAAAAAACTTGGCCGGGCGCGGTGGCTCACGCCTGTAATCCCAGCACTCTGGGAGGCCGAGGCGGGCGGATCACGAGGTCAGGAGATCGAGACCATCCTGGCTAACACGGTGAAACCCCGTCTCTACTAAAAATACAAAAAATTAGCCGGGCGTGGTAGCGGGCGCCTGTAGTCCCAGCTACTCGGGAGGCTGAGGCAGGAGGATGGCGTGAACCTGGGAGGCGGAGCTTGCAGTGAGCCGAGATCGCGCCACTGCACTCCAGCCTGGGCGACAGAGCGAGACTCCGTCTCAAAAAAAAAAAAAATAAAATAAAATAAAATAAAAAAAAAAAAAAAAAAACTTTTTACTTTGAAATAAATATAGATTCACAGGAAGCTGCCAAAAAAAAAAAAAAAAAAAAAACACAGTACAAAAATGTCCTCTGTACTCTTCACCCAGTTTTCCCCATTTCCAGCAGAATTTTTTTGGTGTCTCTTAGTTGAGGTTCCCAAAGAGGAATCTGAATGGATTCCTTTTCTTTGAAGGCTACAGATATCCCAGGTCACTGGCCAGCCTGTGGATGAGTTCCATAAGAAGACAGTCGTCTTGGCCAAATGAGCTGTGGTCAGGAGTGTTGTTTTTTTTTTGGCTCATTCAGTTCAGGTTGACGTGGGTACTGTGAAGGAGGTTTGTGTAAGGTAGATTCACCAAGGCGATTCAAATATAGTAAAAATTTCTGTGTAAGGGTTTAAGCTGAGTTGTTACGGTGTTCCACACCCCATCTTCCATTACTCCTTTCTTACATCCTTTGCTATAGTTATGCTTTTCATCCAAGTAACCTCAGCTACCATGTGTATTTAGCTTCGGTGTCAGGGCAATGGATTTACCTTTTGCATATGGACCTGTGGGAAAACCATAGAAGATATCCCTTGAGCAATGGCAATACAGAGAGAGATGTTAAGATGGTTTGGAAATATATTGAATGCTTTGCTTGAAACATTCATGCAATTATTTTTTCTTTGGGAGGACAGTAACCATGTTTTCCTAGATTTTTTTTTCTTATAGAGATAGGGCTTTTCTCACTTGGCTGAGTTTAATTTTATAAAGAAATACATGTTCTCTATCTCTTCTTTCTGTTCTTCACAAAGCCATGTTTTTTAAAAAAATCTAACCCAAGAGTTTGAGTCTTCCAGAAGAATAGCTGTTGTTAAATGTGGGTATGTTCAAATCACTGAAACTCAAAACCAAAACTTTATTTGGGATTTTTTTTAAAAAACCCAATCTCAAAACAAAACCTTGAAAAACAGGTGAGATATCCTGATGGTAAGAAGAGCTATTGAACCAGAATAATGTTTACCATCTGATATGTTAGTGTGCACAAAATATAAAATGTGTAGAAACATCAGGGAAGTCATTAACCCCAAAACCTATAGTCAGCCTGGACCCCTCATGATTTATTTGCATTTAGCTAAAGCAAGGTTTCTCAGCCTTGGCACTGTTGACACTTTGGCCAGATAATTCTTTGTTGTGGAGGTCTGTCGTGTGCATTGTGGAATCTTGAGCAGTATCCCTGGCCTCTACTCACTAGATGCCATTCCCCCATTTGTGACAGTTAAAAATATCTCTTGAAATTGCCAGTGACTCCCATGGGATAAAATCATCCCTGATTGAGAACTACTGAGCTAAAGAATTAAGAAATTAAACACTGCCCTTTACACAGGCTCTTTGGCTGGCTGACTGTAGATTTGATTACCTACTCATGCTTTCCATTTTAATTTCCCTTTGAAAAGCAAAGATATTCTAGAAAATTTGGATTGAATCAAATTCCTCTGAATGTCTGTGTCAGTGGGCTCAGTGGGAAAATCCTCAGTATATTCACATTTGTGTAAAAAATATGGGCTGAATTGAGCATCTTTCAGATTACTTTCAGGAGTAGAATGTGTAAGGCATGACCATAGAGGCTGGGAAGATTGTCTCCTCATTCAGGAATGCTGTAGAAAGCAGGAAATGGGCAGTGATGCCAGCTAGCTTAAGATGTTGGATGTGTCAGTTTCCCTTGCCTTCATAATGGCAAGGGAAATAAATAAAAGGCAAGTCTATGCATCCCTTCTTACTGCTATTTTCTGGAAAGTTTTTATTGGCTAATGTTCTTGTACCTGTGTGAAATTACTTCTGACTCTTTCATCTTTACTCTCCTACACACTTCCCCTCACTCTCCCACGGCAAAATAGTGTGACCTGCTCTATGTGGTGATCACTGCTGACACATCGGGTTGTTCCTTTCCAGCAGCAATAGAAAATTCACCTGGGGAATCTGCTGTATAATTTAAATATTTCTACCCAAGTTTTGTCCTGTACTTTTCTAAAAATCATTCTTGTGCCATGACTCTGTTTGTCCTATCCCCACTTATTCTCTCTTCAGGAGGAGAGGGGAGGTTTGTGGGACCCTGGAGCTTGTGGGCCCTTTCCAAAATTGAAACCAAGAGATGAGACCTCAAGACAGAGTACTTTTTTGGGGAAAAAGCCCACTTCTCTTTTCTCTTCTTTCTCATCTAAGTTGAAATAACATAAAAAGTACAAATATAATTACTGTTTTCATTCAAGGGTAGCACTTTTCTGAGTAGGAGGCCGGAATGAATTTTGTATGGTTGAAGAGAAAATACTTAAGGAATATTAGAATGTGGCTTGGATGAGTTACAGGAATAAGCAGACAATATGTGCCTTGCTTGAAAGAGTGGTGATACAGAGGGTTGCTCTGTGCTGGGTCAAGCCGCATGTGTGTCTCAGAGGGAGTATCTCTCTAGTGGTAATAAGCAAGACAGACATTTGTGAGTATGTTTGGATGTTGAAGTATACAAAACACTGGGGCTGGGTTTGGTCACTCACGCCTGTAATCCCAGCCCTCTGGGAGGTCAAGGCGGGAGGATTGCTTGAGCTCAAGAGTTTGAGGCTACAATGAGCTATGATTGCATCACTGCACTCCAGCCTGGGTGACAGAGTGAGACTCCATCTCTTTCAATAAATAACGTAAATTAAAGAAGCAAAATACTGATATAAGCAACAACATGGGAAGAGATGGGAAGGTGGTATTGTAGAGCTAGTTTAAAATAACCACTTAAAGGTAAGATCATTAGTGTCTGTTTTCTCTTCTGGAATTTTATTGCTGATTTTGTAGATTTGTTTGAGGAGAATATCTACCTAGAAAATTTAAGAAAGGTTTCTGCTGGGTGAATTCTGTGTGACTCCCTCATCCTTGCCTGATTACATGCCTAGTCACTAACAGCAGCATTGGTACTGGGCTGATTCTGGCTGTCATGACCTCCATCATCAGATGGATGTAAACAGCCTCTGCAACTTAAGGAGGGTGTGGAGGGGCAACACTGAAGTCCCCTCCTGTAGCAACGATCTGGCACAACTTCTGCCTCAAGTCTGCTTTTGTTTTTTGGTACATTAGATAAATATTGAAGTCTGTATATTTCTGTAAATTATCATGGTCTTTAACTTTTATTTATTTTTCACCTATCAGTGTATTGGAGCAATTTCATATCTGTTGCATCAGACCTTGGTGTTTCGTTGAGTTAAAAGATATTTGATTTTTAACTTTTTCTTTCATTTCCTAATAGAGACAGTGAATGTTAAAGGATATCAATAAATTTGATTAAAACTGCTAAATTGTGGTTCTTTATTAAAACTACATTGAATAAATATTTTTATTTCAAAGGGAGGGTGAGCCACTCTCACAATTTGTGACATAATGCTTCAAACACTAACATTTAAACGTTCTTATTTTACTAGTTTGTCAATCTCATCAATTTCCTTAAAAACAAAACACCAATAACAAAAACGGAGTATTTTTTTCTTCCAAATAAAGACATAGGAGAGTACTATAGTATTACCATTATCAATGTATTATTCTACTTGTGTAAGAATTTATAGCATAAAACTTAGCCATTTACTAAAAATAAGGTCAGTTTACACTGATGTTTTCAAAAGGAAACTCCTGGCCATTGTCCTTGATGAACATCGATGCAAAAATCCTCAACAAAACACCGGCAAACTGAATCCAGCAGCACATCAAATAGCTTATCTACCATGATCAAGCAGGCTTTATTGCTAGGATGCAAGGTTGGTTCAACATAGGCAAATCAATAAATGTAATTCATCACATAAACAGAACTAAAGGCAGAAACCACATGATTATCTCAATAGATACAGAAAAGCCTTTTGATAAAATTCAACACTGCTTCATGTTAAAACTCTCAATAAACTAGGTAGAGAAGGAATATACCTCAAAATAATAAGAGCCATCTTTGACAAACCCAGAGATGACATCATACTGAATGGGCAAAAGCTGGAAGCATTGCCCTTGAAAATTGATACAAGACAAGGATACCCTCTCTTACTACTCCTACTCAACATAGTACTGGAAGTCCTGGCCAGAGCAATCAATCAAGAGAAATAAGTGGCATCCAAATAGAAAGAGAGGAAGTCAAACTATTCCTGTTTGCAGATGACTTGATTCTATAACTAGAAAACTGCATAGTCTCGGCCCCAAAGCTCCTTAAGCTGTTAAACAACTTCAGGTAAGATTCAAGATACAAAATCAATGTACAAAAATCTAGCATTCCTATACGTTAACTACAGTCCTACCTAGAGCCAAATTAGGAACACAGTCCCATTCACAGTTGCCACAAAAAGAATAAAATACGTAGGAATACAGCTAACCAGGGACGTGAAAGATCTCTACAATGAGAACTACCAAACACTGCTTAGATAAATCAGAGAAATCAGAGATGACACAAATAAATGGAAAAACATTTCATGTTCATGAATTAGAAGAATCAAAATCATTAATATAGCCATACTGCCCAAAGCAAATTATAGATTTAATGCTATTATCAAACTACCAATGACATTCTTCACAGAACTGGAAAAAAAATTTTTAATATGAAACCAAAAAAGCCCCAATAGCCAGGGTAATTCTAAGCAAGAAGAATAAAGCTGGAGGCATCATACTACCTGACCTCAAACTATACTACAGGGCTATGGTAGCCAAAACAGCATGTTATGGTACAAAAACAGACACATAGACCAATGGAACAGAATAGAGGGCTCAGAAATAAGGCTGCACACTTACAACCATCTGATCTTTGACAAAGCTGACAAAAACAAACAATGAGGAAAGGACTCCCTATTCAATAAATAGTGCTGGTATAACTGGCTAGCCATATGCAGAAGATTGAAACTGGAACTTTTCCTTGTACCATATACAAAAATTAACTCAAGATGGATTAAAGACTTGAATGTAAAACCACAAACTATAAAAATTGTGGAAGACAACCTAGGCAATAACATTCTGGACATAGGCATGGGCAAAAACTTCATGACAAAGATGCCAAAAGCAATTGCAACAAAAGCAAAAATTGACAAATGGGATGTAATTAACCTAAAGAACTTCTGCACAGCAAAAGGAACTATCAACAGAGTAAACAGACAACCTACAGAATGGGAGAAAATTTTTGCAAACTATGCATCTGACAAAGATCTAATATTCAGCATCCACAGCAACTTAAACAAATGTACAAGAAAAAACAACCCCACAAAAAAGTGGGCAAAGGACATGGGCAGACACTTTTCAAAAGAAGACATATATGCAGCCAATAGGCATATGAAAAAAAAGCTCGACATCACTAATCATTAGAGAAATGCAAATCAAAACCACAATGAGATATCATTGCACACCAGTCAGAATGGCTATTACTAAAAAGTCAAAAAATAACAGGTGCTGGTGAGGTTGTGGAGAAAAATAAACTGTTGGTGGGAGTGTAAATTAGTTCAACCAGTGTGGGAAGCTGTGTAGTGTTTACTCAAAGAGCTAAAAATAGATCTACCATTTGACTCAGAAATCCCATTACTGGGTATATACCCAAATCATTCTATCATAAAGACACATGCATGTTTATGTTCATTGCAGCACAATTCACAATAGCAAAGACATGGAATCAACCTAAATGACCATCAATGGTAGACTGGAAAAAGAAAATATGGTACATATATAGCATAGAATACTATGCAGTCATAAAAAAGAAAGAGATCATGTCCTTTGCAGGGACATGAGTGGAGCTGGAGGCCATTATCCTTAGCAAACTAATGCAAGAAAAGAAAACCAAATACCATATGTTCTCACATATAAGTGGGAGCTAAATGATGAGAACACGTGGACACAGAGGAGAACAACAGGCACTGAGGCCTACATGAGAGTGGAGGATGGGAGGAGGGAGAAGATCAGGAAAAATAACAAATGAGTGCTAGGCTTAGTACCTGGGTGATGAAATAATCTGTACAACAAACCCCCATGACATGAATTTACCTGTATAACATACCTGCATGTGCACAGGTTAAAAAAAGAACAAAAACCCCACGAAAACACACTAAAAAAATGACATTTTTCAAGGTTGTATATTAATTTAAGTAATTTTTTTGTAATGTCTATTTTACTGGAACTTCTATGGATCACCACTTGTAATTTGACATAGTTTGAGGTTATCCAGTATGAATAAACTGAAGATTGTGCATTGCTGTCTTCAAGATAACAAATACTTGACAGTAAATATCTGAATGCCTTAACCCGTCATGTAAATGGCATATAAATAAGTTCATTATGGTAGAGTTATTTATAATGTATTCTTAGGAAATTTCCTTGAGTCTCCTTGTCTGCCTCTATCTCTTCCATTCCCAATTAAAGGTCAGTGTCACCCAGAAAGAAAACTTAACAATTTGGGGTCAACATTGTAGTTGTTTCCAATACCCTCATGACGTGGCACTGCAAATGAAGAAACTGCTATTTTATTTCTAGCATAATCTCTTAGTCATAACATTGGCACAAGTTTAAGAACACTTCCTAGAGTTCCAAAACCTGCCTGTTTTTAAATCTAAGATGAACATTTACTTGCCAAGTTTCAGCCTTAGGGCAACTTTTTTTTTGAACGTTAATGAGTTAGAATTACTAAAGCAACACTGTAATTAACTTGTAGAGGTAAAAATAATTGTTTCAGTATTTGAGTAGGATTATATCATACATGACAGTTTCGTTCAGATAAACTTGGAATGTCTCCCCTTAGGTACCTTTTGTTACGTAGAAATTGAAAAGGGAAGAGCAAATGAAGTTGACAGGAAATAGAATCCAAGGTGTAAAACTGGTGTGAAGGCACTGGTCACCCAATTTATCTTAGGCCCATGACTGTGCTTCCCATCCTGAAAATATTTATTGAACATCTACTATGTGTCGGGCACTGTTTCAGGAACTTGGGACACAGCTATAAACAAGGCAGAGTCATAGCTGTAAAAGAGACAGAGAACATTTCTCCCTTATGGGGCTGACATGCCATGGAGTGGGGGGTTGCAGGGAGTACAGCCTTGTCGACCAGAAACACAGTGCTCTAAAGCAACAGATCCATGTGTCAGTTCCCGTGGAGAGTGCAGGAGAAATGCTAGAGGTGATGAAATGGCATATCAGCTCCAGATGCCAAGAATTACAGTGAAAAAATATATAATACCTTATCAGTTACCAATAGTTACACTGAAAAAACAATGTGAATAAAGAATGATTGAGTGTGTGTATGAGAAGCATTTTAGAAACAGGCTCAGGGACATCTTTCTGAGTTGACATTTGATCAGGAGCCTGGAGTGGGCCCTGGTGGGGTGAGTGGGAGGTTTCCAGACAGAGGAACAGAGAGGGAATCAGCAAGGAGAGTCCTGAGGGTCTGAACAGAATGAGAAGAAGTAGTCAAGTGAGGCTGTTAAGGCATCATGGGCTTTGTTGGGTAGGCTACATTTTACTTAAAGTATTGGGGGCTTTTGAGAACAATCTGTTGTTAGGTCATTGGTTGCCTGTGATGAAGGATGCACATATTTGTGACTATACTAAAAATGTTGAATTGTACACAAATGGGTGAATTATATGGTATGTGAGTTTTATCTCAATAAAACTGTTAAGAATAATACAAAATCAGTGGTTGCTATGTGAAAAATAAACTTAAAGAAATCAAGAAGATGAGGGAAAGCCAGTTGAACAATTTCAGTGGTTATGATGGTTAATCGTATGTGTCAACTTGACTGGGCCATAGGGTGCCCAGATATATTTGTTCAGTCATTATTCCGGGTGTGTTTGTGGGGCTGTTATTGTATGAGATTAACATTTGAATCTGTAGACTGAGTAAAGCAGATTGCTCTCCCTACTGTGAATGGGCCTCATCCAGTCATGGAAGGCCTGACTAGAAAAAAAGGCCAGCCCTCCTGCTAGCAAGAGGGAACTCTTCTGCCTGACTGCTGGAGTTTGAACTGAAACATTGGCTTTTCTTAAGTATAGAGCCTGCTGCTTTCCAGACAGGAACTCACATCATTCCATTAGCTCTCCTGGTTCTTAGAGGAGGCTTGCTGCCTTAGAGAGTGAACTATACCATCAGCTCATCAGCTGACTGCAGATTTTGGGACTTCTCTGGTTCTGTGATTCCTTATAATAAATCTCTTTCAATATATATCCGGTTGATCCTCTTTCTCCTGAGAACCAGACAAAAGCAGTAGTCCAGGCAAGAGGGAATGGTGGCAACAAGGGTCTCTGTGTGTATTGTTGAGACGTAGTCAAATTTTCCACGTTTTGATGGAAGAGTGTATAGGAGTTGCTAATGAATTGAGAGGGAATTGAGGGGCTTTTGCACCAGTAGTTTATTGAGTTAATAAATATGAGACAGAAGGTTGGTGGGGGTAGGGGAAAATCAAGAGAGAATCTGTGGAGGATGAAGCAAGTTGCAGAAGATCACAAATTGGTAAATATATATATATAAAAGAGTGATGTAGATTTTAAATGTTGTTCCCTGGCAGCATCATGGAAAAGATGGTAAAAGGGATAGTTTGTGATTATTAAGAAATGGGGTGATCACTGGAAGCCAGCCTTGTTCACCAGAAACAAAATGCTCTAAAGCAACAGATCAACGGGCGTGTCCCCATGGAGAGTGTGGGAAACCCTCTAGAGGTGGTGGAATGGCCTGCGGGTGGGTTTTGTTCATCTTGTACAGTTTTTGTTTTTAAAATTTGAGCCAACATTTATTTATACTGAGATTTCTGATGCAATCCCTGTGTCTGGCTTGTATTGATGGATCTGCCAACAATGGGCCTGCATTCCCCTAAAGCGACCATTATATGGGATGTCCTGTAGACGGGAGTTTCTGGCTTCCTTGGTCTCTTGTCATCTCCTTGACATTATGTTCATTTTATTTATTTATATTTTATTCATTTTTATTACCAGTTTTCTCCCTTCAGGCATCTTTTTTTAATTCCTGCAAGGTACCTGTTGTCATGGCCTCAGTATTGTCAAGATGGGAAAAAGTGGACCAGATAACACCTTCTGTAGGTGAAATCTTAAATAGTTGAGTAAACATGCTCAATTTCAAGAAGCCAAAATATTTAAATCCATGTAAACTTCAAGTGAAGTTTCTGGTAGTTGGCCTTAGGACTTTGTGCTTGCCTTGTTTACATTAAAAAAAAAGATGGGGTGAAAACCTGGCAAACATACTTAGTCCGGTTTGTACATGTTGAAGCAATAAAGTGTAGCTAATGTCCTAAATATAAAAATCTGGACTAAAAAATGATCTGGATGGGCCTAAGTCTCCAAAAGAATATTTATCAGGGATAAATTTCAATGATATTTTAGTTGGAAAAAAAAATCAGTTACGTGAGTTGAGGGTGGTTTTATATTGTCTACAAACTTAATCATGCATTTTAAACCTTTATCCATGGCACCTCACTGATACCATCATAGGGTTTACAATTCAGATTCTTCTCTATATCCAGCTTACTTTTCTTCTAAATTTGACTAGCCCATGGTTCATTACAGCTCACAGGTCATCTTCCTGTGAACAGTGGTGTTGGTGTCACTAGGCTATTGCTGCCACACATGATCTCAGCTGATGGCCTAATACGGATGCTACAATGAAAAGCACCCATAGCCTGTAACACGAGAAGTTAGGTGAATTCTATCCACTCACTGTATGCTAGAAACTGCCAATCACATTTTATCTTTTTTTCTCACTAAACTCTCACAATTACACTGTTACTCTCATGAGACGAGCATTATCAGTGAGCCTTCGAGTGATGTTTAGCCACACCTGGAGTCCAGTATTTGAGATACAGATGCTTCATTCCAGGGAGGAGGACATAACCCACAGGGACTTGTCTTTAAGGTGGCATGGCAGTTGTGGTAGGTGGAATAATGGCCCCCAAGGATGTTCACATTGTGATCCATGGAAATAGTGAATATGTTACAAGGCAAGGAAGAATTAGGTTGCAGATGGGATTGCGGTTGCTAATCAGTTGATCCTGAGATGGGGAGCATATCCTGCATGATCCAGGTGGGCTCTGTGTAATCCCAAGCATCCCTGTAAGAGGAAGATGGAACGAGGAGAGGGAGAACCAGATAGATGGCTGAGTGAGGGATCCTCATGTATAGGGACCAACTAGGAGAGCTAGTTGGGCACCTTGAGTTGCATCTCTGAGTATTTACCTATATCTTGTAGTCATCAAATGTAGGTGTTACTTGGCAGATTACATGAGGCTGCTGACTTTGAAGACGGAGGAACAGGGTTATGAGCCAAGGAATGCAGGTGGCTTCTGGAAGCTGGAAAAGGTGAGGAACTGGATTCTCTCCTAAAAGGTGTAGCAGAAGGAACATAGTCCCAAGGGCACCTTGATTTTAAATCAATGAGACTGATTTTGGACTTCTGACCTCCAGAACTGTAAGATAATAAAATTGTGTTGTTTTAAGCAACTTAATAGTGGCAATTTGTTATGGAAATAATAGGAGACTAATACAGAGGTTAAGAGCACAGATTCAAGAATCTAACTGCTGGATTTGAATCTCAGCTCCACAACTTAATGTATGACCTTGGGCAAGTCACGTAACCCCTTACACCTCAGTTTCCTCATGTGTGAAGTGGGAACGATAATAAGACTTCACAACATTTTTTGGTAAGAATTTGAATAAGATAATTAGCATAAAGTGGTTCAGTATGTTACCTGGCATATCGTAAGAACTCAGTAAATATTAGCTTAGGAAAATTAGCTATTAAGGGGAGGGTCAGTTGGGAATAACTGGAAAATGTCACATGAGGGACAATGGATGTTGAGGAAACAAAGGGCATCTAAAGAGAAGATGTGAGGTTGGAGTATGAGGCAAGAGAATTGTCTAAGTAGGGAAGGGGCTCTCATAGGAGGAAGATGAGATTTAGTTTGCATTACTAGGTAGGAAGATTTAGGATCAGTGTTTTACAGTTACAGTGAGGGAGTCTTTAGACTGTCTTTTTTCTTTCTTTCTTTCTTTCTTTTTTTTTTTTTGAGACAGGGTCTGGTTCTTTCACTCAGGCTGGAGTGCAGTGGCCTGATCTTGGCTCATTGCAACCTCCTCCTCCTGGGCTCCCAGTGATCCTCCCATCTCAGCCTCTGGAGTAGCTGGGACTACAGGCACTGGCCCCCTGCTAATTTTTTAAGGTTTTTGTAGAGATGAGGTCTCACTGTGTTGCCCAGGCTGGTCTGGAACTCCTGGGCTCAAGCAATACTCCTGCCTAGGCCTCCCAAAGTGCTGGATTAAAAGTGAATCAGCCTCATAAAACAGTGAGTCCCTGGGGCTGGAAATTTTTAAACAAAAGGTGATGATCCAGACTCATTATCTATATAAGTGATGCTAAAGATCGTTGGGACAGGTTGCACTAAAGGTGCCCCAATTTCTAGCCGGCTTTAAAGTTTTACCACATAGTGTTCCTTGTTAAATACGTGTTAGTGCTTCATAAAATATGCATTTTAGCATCACAGTGACATTTTTTCTTAAAGTAATTATTTGTTTTGCTTTGGAACATGGTTAACTTGAGAATGGAACTTAAGCATCTATTTCAGCACTTTGGAAAAAAAGAGTAGGTGAGTTTTAGAATTATCTCATTTTTGATGTAAAGTTTAATTTGATGAATCATATACAAGACTGTCACTTAATTCATACTGCAGTTTGCCACAGCCTGTTACTGCTTTATGTAGTTAATTGTAACCCGAGTGGATGAAGCATTTCAACTAGCCTTTACCAGAACGCTCAGCCCTCCCTCCCTGACCTGCTGCTGCCCTAACTTGCCAGCTCAGCTCTGCCTCGTTGGTTTGGCTGTTGCTCCAGCTCTGCCAAATGGTGCTGGCATTGTTATCCTATGTAATCCCTTGGGCCCACAGTGTCTCTTGGCAATTCCTTTAAGCTCTCCTAGTTGGTTCCTATTTTTACTTTCATATGTTATGAAACTTTACGGCTTTCCTTGTCCTTAGTTCCTTTGTTATCAGCAAATGGCTGAGCCCTCACCCCCACCTTTTTTTTTTTGGAGAGAAATTGGTTCCCCAAGGAAAAATTTTAAAAAATGGCTGAGACTGACTGCTTATTTTCTTCACAAATAACTATTGACGTTGGATCTCTGAGTGTTTGCCTATATATTATAGTCATAAAATGTAGGTGTTACTTGGCAGAATAAGTTTATTATTAGCTATGCCATTATTAGTTATACCATAACAAGCGATGATTATCCAAAATAATAGATTAAAAAAAAAACCAGTGCTGGCACATCAAAGCACACACAACTGCTTTCTTAATAGAAACGGTATAATTAAAATGCAAATTTGGATATATTTTAGTCACCCTGCTACTTAGAAGTTGCTTTAAAATAACTGGTCACAATATAGCATAAGAATAAGATTCAAGTACTTTTGGTGATCTAATAGTAAACTCCATAATCTCTGGGTGACTTATGTGCATACTAAAGAGAAACACTGTCTTAAGTTATATTTGATGAAAACCTTTTCCTCACTTTAATTGCCAAAAAACTTTTGTCCACAAAAATTCAGTTCACCTGGGGGATCCTTTTTTTTTTTTTTTTTTTTTTCCTTTTTGGAGACAGGGTCTTGCTTTATTGCCCAGGCTGGAATGCAGTGGTGCAGTCATGGCTCACTGCAGCCTCAAACTCCTGAGCTCAAGCTGTACTCCCACTTCAGCCTCCCAAGTAGCTAGGACTACAGGTGCATGCCACCGCACCTGGATAATAATTTTATTTTTTTTGGTAGAGAGACAGGGTCTGACTATGTTGCCCAGGCTGGTCTCTAACTCCTGGTCTCAAGGAGTTGAGCCCTGCCTTGGCCTCCCAAAGTGCTGGGATTAGAGGCATGAACCACCACTGGCCGGGGATTTTCTTAAAATGCAGAGTGTGGTTCAGTAGGTCTGGGGTGTAGCTAGAGATTCTGAATTTTTGGCAGGCTCCCAGGTGACCCTGATGCTGATGGTCTGTGGCCACGCTTTGTGTAGCAAGTGACTGGGTCAGTGGTCCTCCATTTTGACTGTGCATCAGTTGCATCTGAGGGATGGCTGTGTGACTCCCTCTCATGAGTTTGACTGGGGTCCCATGTCTATAAATCATAATGCTAAGATATGGACTTAGCTGAATTTCTCTGCTTCAAGTAATAGTTATCTCTTGATTGCTGGCACATACTTGCTAACATTTTTGGCACTGTCAATTGCAGGGTTAGAGGAGGCAGGGACTTTGCCAGATTATAAATAGAAAGGAGTCGAGGTCACCTAGTATCTTGTCTTTAGGATAAATTGATCAGCATCATCATGTACTCAGCTCTTTTTTCAGCTCTTTTTTTTTTTTTTTTTTTTTTTTTTTTTGAGACAGAGCCTCGCTCTGTCGCCCAGGCTGGAGTTCAGCGGCGTGATCTCGGCTCACTGCAAGCTCCACCTCCCAGGTTCACACCATTCTCCTGCCTCAGCCTCCCGAATAGCTGGGACTACAGGTGCCTGCCACCAGGCCTGGCTAATTATTTGTATTTTTAGTAGAGACAGGGTTTCACCATGTTAGTTAGGATGGTTTCGATCTCCTGACCTTGTGATCTGTCCCGCTCAGCCTCCCAAAGTGCAGGGATTACAGGCATGAGCCACCGCACCTGACCAGCTCTTTTTTAAATTGAAAACTTGTTTAAAGTAGGCAAGAACCCTTTCTGGGAATACCAGGCCAAAGTAATCATGACAAGAGTATTTGGTTAATTGACAGGGAACACTTCCAGGTGGTGTCGTTCTGGGAGCCTTGGTTTAAGCTTTGTAAGGCCTTTAGGTCACAGCCCTGAGAACAACTTCACTCATTTTCAGAATTAGGATTTTGATCTTATTTAGGACTTTTGTAATAAATCCTTTTATTAACCTTGTCTCTATTTTTACACTGTTTATAAAAGTGTCTTTTCACTTTTGCTTATAATGACAGCTCTTGACCCTGTACACTCAGGAAGTTTTTGCAGTAGTGGGTCTAACTGGCTTGATCTTATGAGTAGACATTTCTGTATTGCTACATTAAGGTTCCCTGATGCAGAGTATTCCCTTTATATTTGGGAGGTTGTCATGCTTGAAATTTTATCAAATATATATTTTTTGATCCTTCAAGTAAAAGTGAAAGTGACTTTGGGTAGGGTAAGAGCCTAGGGTGTTGTAGTACATTTTCATGAGGATTTAGACTTTTGCATAATGAAATGATTCAATGTATAAGAGAAATCTGGAGCATAATGACATTTATGTAAATTAGACTCTCTCTCTATATATGCAACAGCACTTGTTAAAGAACATTTTATTTTATTTTATTATTATTATTTTTGACAGAGTCTCCCTCTGTCACCCAGGCTGGAGTGCAATGGCGTGATCTTGGCTCACTGCAACCTCTGCCTCCCAAGTTCAGCAATTATCCTGCCTCAGCCTCCCAAGTAGCTGGAATTACAGGCGCCCGCCACTATGCCCAGCTAATTTTTGTATTTTTAGTAGAGACGGGGTTTCACCATGAGTTATTCAGGCTGGTCTCGAACTCCTGACCTCAGGTGATCCACCCACCTCAGCCTCCCACAGTGCTGGGATTACAGGCATGAGCCACTGCACCCGGCCAAAGAACATTTAAAAAAATTTATATTCATGGGGCACAAGTACAATTTTCCTACCTTAATATATTACACTGTGGTGAAGTAGGGGCCTTCAGTGCATTCATCACTGGAACATTGCACATTGTATCCACCAAGCGGCCTCCCATCATCCACCCCCTTCCCATCCCCACAATGCTGTGAGTCCCCATTGTCCATCATTCACACTCTACTTCCATTTGTATACATTATTTGGCTCCCACTTATGAGAACATGTAGTATTTGTCTTTCTGCATCTGAGTTGTTTCGCTTAAGATAATGGCCTCCAGTTCCATTTGTATTAGTGCAAAAGACATGATTTCATTTTTTAATGGCTGAATAGTATTCCATTGTGGATGTATACCACATTTTATTTATCCAGTCCTTCATTGATGGACACTTAGGTTGATTCCATATCTTTGCTATTGTGAATAGTGCTGCAGAAAACATACAAGTGCAGGCATCTCTTTGATGTAATGATTTCTTTTTCCTTGGGTAGATGTCAAGTAGTGGGATTGCTGGATCATATGGTAGTTCTATTTTTAGTTCTTTGACAGATCTCCACACTGTTTTCCATAGAGACTGCACTAATTTACATTCCCACCAGCAGTGTATAAGCATTCCTGTTTCTCTGCATTTTCTCCAACATCTGTCATTTTCTGTCTTTTTAATAATAGTCATTCTGATTGGAGTAAAATGATATAGTGGTTTTAATTTGCATTTCTCTGACTAGTAATGTTGAACATTTTTTCATATTTTTGTTGGCCATTTGTCTTCCATTGAAAAAGGTTTATTCATATCCTTGGCCCACTTTTTAATGGGTTTAGTTGGACTTTTGTTGTTCCTTATAAATTCTGGATATCAGTCTGCTGTTGGATGTATATAGTTTGCAAATATTTTCTCCCATTCCACAGGTGACCTTTTCACTTTGTTGATTATTTCTTTTGCTGTGCAGAAGCCTTTTAGTTTAAATCCCGTTTGTCTATTCTTGTTTTTGTTGCCCGTGCTTTTGAGGTCTCAGTCATACATTCTTTGCCTAGACTAGTGATATGGTTTGGCTGTGTCCTCACCCAAATCTCATCTTGAATTGTAGTTCCCATAATCCCCAGGTGTCGTGGGAAGGACCTGGTGGGAGGTAATTGAATCATGGGGGTTGTTTCCCCCATGCTATTCTTGTGCTAGTGAGTGAGTTCTCACAAGATCTGATGGTTTTATAAGGGGCTCTTCCCCTTTTGCTCAGCACTTCTCCTTCCTTCTGCCATGTGAAGAAGGAGGTGTTTGCTTCCCTCTCCACAATGATTTTAAGTTTCCTGAGGCCTCTCCAGTCCTGTGGAACTGTGAGTCAATTAAACCTCTTTTCTTATAAATTACCCAGTCTTGAGCAGTTCTTTATAGCAGCATGAGAATGAACTAATACAACTAGACATTTATATTTTTAAACACATTAAAGAAGGCATCTTTAAAAAATAATTTGAGACAGGTACACTAAAATCCCAGGCTTCAGCACTATATAGTTCACCTGTGTAACCAAAAACCACTTGTATCCCTAAAGCTATTGACATTAAAAAATTAAAAAATAATTTGAGGTGAAATTCACATAACATAAAGTATTAAAACCATTAAAAACCATTTTAAAGTACACAATTTAGTAGCATCTATTACATTCACAATGTTGTGCAACCATTAAACATTTCTAATATTTCAAAGTAAAACCTCTTAACATCAAGTGGTTTCTCCCCATTTCCTCCTCCTCCATTCAGCTTCTGGCAACTACCAACCTGCATTTCGTCTCTGGATTTATCCATTCTGGATATTTTATACAAATGGAATACGTGACTTTTGTTTTCTGGCTTCTTTCACTTACTGTAATGTTTTGTAGCACATATCAGTACTTCATTCCTTTTTATGGCTGAGTGCTATTCCATTGTATGGATAGACCACAACATGTTTATCCATTTACCTCTTAGCAGACATCAGAACGGTTTGTACCTTTTGATATGTACATGCACATGCATGTACATGTAATGTACTTATTTGGGAATCTTTTTAATTCTTTGGGATATATATAGGATATATACCTGGGGGAAGGCATCTTTTTAATAGAAAGGAATGGGAGTGAGTGGGAATGTGGGATGAGGAGGAAAATAATTAAAATAACAAAATAAAATGAGAGAGCCCTTATACTGACTGATAAGAGCTTGCTTAAATAGGAATGATGAATTCAACTTTGGGTCCTGACATTTCTTCCCAAGCACTTACATTACTGATGAAAGAGCAAGGACATGTGCTATAATGATATGAAAATATGTTACTTGATAAATGCTTTTGGAAGGAAAATGGGTTGAAAGGCTCTGAAAGGTGAGGTGTTAACAAAGTCCTGTCTTACCCTTGACACCAGTGTGAGAATATTCATATTGGCCTTATGCTATTCTCATTAACACTCTTTTCAGGATTTATAATGGAAATAGAGAAGAGTTAAGATTCCATTGAAGTGTATAATTGTGTTTGTTGCAAACTCAAAATATTGGGTGGAGGTGGAATGTAACCCTACATTTGGGGTCAAGAGAATAAGAATGAGCACTGCTTCTCTCCCCACCTTTTCCCTCAAGGGATGAGGCATTCCAACACTGAAGGGTCAGGGGAGTGGTAGCTTTGGCAGGACTGATAGGAGGCTTGAGTAGGAGACAGACTTGCAGAGTGAAAGACCAAGGAGGTCTTTCAGATTCTGGGTGGTCCCTCACCTGTTGCCAGCGGCTGGTCTTCACTGCCGCTTATTATTTACTCATGAGTCTTCTGGAGTTTTTGCCCATGAAATGTCCACTTTATTTGATTTTCAAATTCTTTGGGTAGTTTTTCTTATGGCGTCATCTGCCTCTCTATTCCTGAAAGAAATCTCTTGTTGTTTTCTCTCCCTTGTTTTCCATAATGGTATTCTCTTCCCTTGTTTTCCGTATGCTATTCTCTTCTGCTTTTCTTCTGATTTATCTGGATGCCAGGTATTTTTCTCTCTTGACTCCTCTTTCTTTAACTGTCCTTTAAATGCTGGTGGTTGACTGTGAATCCTTCTTTCTCTTTGCTATCAGGGCAAGGAGGGCACATTGACATCCCTAATTTCAATGACTACCAATGTGTGCTAGACTCCCAAACCATATTTTAAAATCAAATGTTTCTCATGGGCTGCAAACCTAACTTACTACTAGCTGGGCATCTGAAACTCAACATTTCTAAACGTTTATTTTTCTATTCTAAATTTTTGACTGGTCTGTATTCTTTATTATTAAAATCTTGTGGTAGCCAGCTTCCAAAATGGTCCCAGTGATTCTCACTTTGTGATATTCTCTTCCTTGTACCTAGGAATTCTACCCAATTAACTAAGTGATCTACTGGGGAGATTCCATTCTTCTAGTGAGGTGACCTACAGAGTGTTGAAGTGATGCCTCGATTCTTCTTGTGGATTATAGTAAAATGTGAGAGGAGAAAGTGAAGAATAGAGTGACAAACATGAGAGAAACAGGAATTGCTGCTTTTGAAAATTGTCAGTCTCTTTAGTAAGTAAATGATGCTAGAACTGAGATGTGGTTTTCAGGCATAGATTAAATTCAGAGCATTTGCAGGAAAATAAGGCCTAAAAAGGAGTTGAGGATGTGGTTGTAAAATTCTTTAAGTTCTTAGATTCAAGACGGTACCTTGCAGATCTGTCGAGTCAAGCAATAGGGCTTCTAAGCACCTTAAGGATATTGTCCTCCAGTCATCTCAGCAAGAGACCAAGGTAGAGAAGAGCTACTCTTGAAGAGATTGATGGGTGCATCTTTTGTCTAATGGAATGAACCCCAATAAGATTCACAGAAGATCTGTAGTATCTTTGAGATAATTGTATTTGCAGAAACACTGCCAGCTGAGACTGAAAGGAATAGAGAATCATGAAATTAAGAGACCCTTAATTCTCTCAATTGCTATGGGTAGGGTAAAGAAGTAGATTGAAAAACCTACATAGCCACAAAGATAGGCTACTTTTCAGTGAAAAGCAAAGATGACTTTTAGGGTGGCACCAAGAATCCAGAGGGTGTAGCCAAAAACCATGAAGTATTACCTGGCCTTGAGTCTTCATGAAGGAACTGCCAACCTGTGTCTTGAAGGATTTCAGAATTTCTGTGGACCAGTGACTCCTGTGTTGCCTTTCATTTCTCTACTCTCTGACCTAGAGTGTCTATAGTGATTATCTTAACACCTGTCACTCTATTGCATGTTGGGAGTGTGGGAGCAGGTAACTTGTCTTAGTTCACTGACATTCAAGTTGAGAGGAACTTTACTTAAGGGCCATACTTAAGGAATTACACCTGAAGAGCCTCAGACACTCCTGGATCTGACTTAGATGATGAGATTTTGGACTTTGAGTTCACCTTGTAAAGGGATGAATATTTTGGGGCCTTATTAGGGAGTAAGTGTATTTTGCACATGGTTGGGACATGAATCACTGAGGTGGGTCCAGAGAGTGAAATGTAGTAGACAGTCCCCCAGAAAGCCCTCCATGATTCTCACCTCCTGGTGTTTATGTTCTTTTGTACCTACATGGAATAGGGCTGATCTGTGTAACCAACAGGATGTTGAGGAAATGATGGAATGTGACTTCAAAAGCTATGTCATAAGACATTGCAACTTCCATCTTGCTCCTTGGATCACGGGCTCTATCAAGCAGCCCTTTGGAGATGTCCATTTGGTAAAGAACCAAGGCTTCCTGTTAACAATCAGCCCTGATTTGTCAGCCACATGAGTGAGCCGCCTTGGAAACAGCTCCTCCAAGCTCCAGGAAAGCCTTGGGATGACTGTAGTCATGGCTGACATCTCAATTACAACCTAATGAAGGGTCCCCCAATTCAGAACTATTCAGCTAAGGCCACTCCTGAATTACCTTCAGAAACTAAATGAAATCATAAACACCTATTCCCTTAAGCTGCTTAATTTGGGGATAATGTATTATGCACCAATAGATAACTAATAGGGTACTACAGTGAACAAATACAAACCTTGATTATCTTGGTAGATCTTTGTGGCTTCCCCATCCTACCTCAGTGGTAAGAACTGCTGTTCCTGATCATTAAGCTCTCTAAGTTACCCTAGCCCACTCCACCCCACACCTGTTATGGCTGCTTTATAATTGATTCAAGGATAAGGGGTGGAAGGGAGATTGGAGACAATATGAAAATCTTAAAGCCATGTGTCTGTTCTTGCCTGCCTCTCAAAGGGCCAATTTTAGAACCTTTAATTTGTAGTGTCTCCCTTTATTCATAGTCATAGAAAAATTTAAAGCTTAAAGGAGCTATTAGATACATTTAGGGCTCATTGTTTCTGTGTGTGTGTGTGTGTGTGTGTGTGTGTGTGTGTGTGTGTGTGTGTGTGTATGTTGGTTTGTCTTTGAGAAGCCACTTTTGGTCCTGAAAGTACAGGGTTTACAGATGTTTAGAGCAGGATTTTGACATGAAGTATTTTATGGAAGTTGGGTAATGAAATATTTGTGTGATGGGTTGGGCCAGGGAGGGTTGGGCTCCTCTTCTTTTGCAGAGAAAAATGATTGCCCTTGATAATGGGTTACAGATTCACAAACTGCTCATTTCAGGGATGAGGAAAATGGGGCCAGAAATGTTAACTCTCTTTCCAAAGCCACACAGTTGTTTAGGGACAAAGTTAACTTGGAGTCCTGGTGACTAGTCCAATTAGATAAGATTAGTTTTAATTTGTCCTTTATTTTCCCTTTTATTTTTGCTAATTTCAAGTGAAAATTATTTCATTAAACAACTAAATACTTCCCTTTTAATGTGTTGAGCTGGGTGTGGCTTCTTGAAGTTTTAACTGTCATGAAAATTTTATTTTATAATTTTATATATACCCTTAGGGACCTCTTTGCCTGCATCCTTTGAAATTGCAAGGAATAAATTACCAGTGAGCTCAAATCCAGTAGGAATGACTGAGACTACATTACCAATCTTAGTACAACCTCGTCCTGCTGCATAGGCCATGTGTGACTTTGTTTACAAAGTTGTACTGTGTTAAACTTGAGCATCGTTGAATGATTTAAAAGATATTCTGCTGTTTTGGTTAAAATAAAGTCTTTATTTAAGGCTAGAATTTAGCCATATTAATTTGTATCTTCTCTTGAACTTTGTCTTCAACTAAGTATAGTCACTTTAGATGTCAAGTTCTTTCTCTCTACTTTGGTGGTTTTTGAGGAGAGTTTGGCTTTATTTATCTATCCTTATCAATCTGTACCTATTTGTCAACTAGATGAATGCTATTATGTTTGTATGAAATATGTGAAGAATCATTTTGGCTCTCATTTGAGTAAGTTTACTTTTAGTTTAACCTTATTTTAATATTTTTGTAATACTTTAAACATTCAGAACCAAATCAAATTGGTTGAATTGGTGTGAAGACTTCTAATGGTTTGTTTTTCCTTTATTGATATGAGACTTGCATCCTGTGTGTATTAGTTCATTTTCACACTGCTGTAAAGAACTGCCTGAGACTGGGTAATTTACAAAGCAAAGAGATTTAAATGACTCACAGATCTGCATGGCTGGGAAGGCCTCAGAGAGCTTACAGTCATGGGGGAAGGGGAGGCAGACATGTCTTACATGGTGACAGGTGAGAGAGAGCGAAGGGGGAAGAGCTCCTTATAAAACCACCAGATCTCTTGAGAACTCACTCACTATCACGAGAACAGCATGGGGGAAACTGCCCCCATGATCCAATCGCCTCTCTCCCTTGGCATGCAGGGATTACAGGTCCTTCATTGACAAGTGAGGATTACAATTTCAGATGAGAATTGGGTGGGGACACACAGCCAAACCATATCATTATGGAACTTGGGGTATTGGTACATCCAACCATCTTTTCTTGCCTGCTTCTCAGAGGGCCAATTTTAAAACCATTAATTTGTATCATTTGATAATTACAGATAGTATACTTTTTAGAAACTATGGGCCTAACAAAATTATCACATTTTGCTCCTCTTGGAATTTTGCCAATAAATTGTGTCTCCTTTTTCCATAATAAGTCAAATGAAAAACAAAATAAACACCTTTCATTGAGCTGTTCAACTTTTGACTTGCAAGTTTCTTTACTCTTTGACTTCATCTTATTTAAAACGATTCGTGGATTTCATCTTTCAGCTAGGTAGTTCGCACTGCCTTTTACTCACAGTAGATTGGAATGACCAGGATCCTGCCTGTACAAATAGTGACTTTTTAGAATGTCTCTTTCCTTAGTAATCAGTGGCGCTTTTCTCTTGCCACACCTTTCCTTGTGCTTTCCCGGAATCCCCTTACTCTCCAAGAACCCAAGCTGTAGAATTTAGCCACTTTATCTTAGGAAAAGAGTAATTGCCTTTCTCCAAGTGGCAGACTATCTTCTGGTCTGTGAAAGTCGCCTCTTAGGGAGGGAGGTGAGGTTTCAAGGAGGCTCACGCCATAGAGGCAGCATTACCAGCTGCCTCAGTGGACAGATGTGTGTTGGCATGCTGGGAGGCCACCCCTTTACCAGCGAACTGTAACAGTTAATATGGAGAACCCGCCTGGGATTGTCACAAGTTCAACCCCATAAAGTGTTTTCTTTTCTTCTTCTTTTTTTTTTTTAGAGTAGTAGAGATGAAGCCTAAGTTAATTCTGGTAACCAAATGTATGTCTCTGAAATGTGGCTGGCTTTAAAATAGCATATACTGTAATCTGTGTTTGCACAGCAGTTTACATTAACGAAGAGCACTGGTTTGTGAATGGAGGATTTGGGTTTTGAAATTAGATATGAGGGCAACCTTGGAGGGAGGGGATAGGCTTTCATATTTTTGGAGGCAGCTCTTGAGGCAGGTGCAGGGAGTGAGTAATGTGCCACACAAACTATGCAATTTAGCCAATGAACACTAGGTTTCTCCTCAGTCCTATAGTATGGTTTCCCTGCCTGTCAAGAGCCAGCTCAACAACCAAACCCAGATTCCAGGTGTGGTATTCCACAGTCGTTCTGTAATTTGTAATCATAGAAACAGAATGTTCCTCCTCTTATTTCTTCCCTGCCAACAGTTTCTGGGTGGGTGAATGTCAGTAGCTGGAGTTATTTTTAAAGAGGAGAGGTGAGGCTTGCCGTGCAAAGCTGGAAAGAGGGCGTTTGTTTGCAGAGCAGAGCTGACATCAAAGTGTAGATTACTGCTCAGTGGCTAGGCACTTGTCCTGTAACAGGTAATGTTTAACGTGCCAGTCACAAAGATCACAGAAACAGTGTATGCCCGGGCATAAGATAGCACGACTGTGTATGCTCTGGAGGACTGAAAGGCTGTACAAGCCCTATGTATTTTTTTTCAAATATACATATGCATGGGTCTTGCTGCTGCCTCTTTTGCTGACTGTAATTGGACTTTGAAGCTTCGAAGTTATATCATAAAAATTTGTAACCTTTGTCTGAGAGAGAGCTCAGCTAAGCAATCACTTTCCACTTCTTTTCACAGGATAATATAAACGTTTTCTTGAAAGCTTGTGAACAGATTGGATTGAAAGAAGCCCAGCTTTTCCATCCTGGAGATCTACAGGATTTATCAAATCGAGTCACTGTCAAGTAAGTTTCAACAGTTTGTTAGATATATATATATATATTTAAACTTAGGGCTTGTAGCTTAAGTGAAAAGAATTGCTGAGAGTTCATGATTACAGAAAAATTCTTCTGTTCTCTCTGTTTTCCTCTGTTCTCATTCTAAAAGAGACTGTTTTAAAAATGGCTTAGGGACTGTGAAGGTGAAGCTGTTTGTAACTCATAACATAGCATAGTCTTACTATAAATCTCTATACCGACAAAAATGGTAGTGTTAATATTTTAATGTGTGTCCAACATGGTAGTGTTTGGTTGCTAATGTTGAGGATACTCATAAAGTGAATTTAGGGGTTATATTATAGCTTGCAGAGTAACAACAATCTTTAAATTTTTTTATATATTTGGAATTAAGACATAATTATTAGCATAAAAATTAGATAGGACAGTAGTAAAAAAGAATCTCTTAATATTGTGAAGGCAGCAGCGCCTGGGACCAACATGTAATGCCAAGGACCTTGTCAGTTGTGGCTGACTTTTAAAAATGAGCTGTTTTTCACGATTTTAATAGTGTGGATGAGAAAGTGAAAGTGGGGGTGAGAACACGTATGCCAGTATCTGTTAGATTTTTGGTGAAAAATGGTGTTTGTGTGGGAGTATACAGTTTCAGGAAATCTGGTTTTAAGCTCTTATGATATTTATTTATATTTCCTATAAATCTAATTTGCTTCCAGGCAATCAATAATCATGTTACTAGATAAAGGTGACAGGAAAATTATTTAATTTTATAATAACTATCTCTTTGTCATCCTGCCTCTTAAACCTAATTAACATTTTTGCAAGGGAGAAAATAAACACCTTATTCTATCTATAGAAATAATGAAAATGGAAAAATCTGTTTCTACCAGTTCAAAGATTTAACTTATGTGGTTAATATCCCTGTGTAAAACCTTTAATAGTTATTTTTAAAATTGGATGACCAATTATTTTTTCTGAAGAAAAATAACCAGCTATGTAAGTATCTTTGATAGTACACATTGTCTTCCAGCAGTACACAGAACAGCCCCAAATCCAGGTAGACTTAGTCTTCCAAAGTCTAACAATATATGTTTTTAAATGAACACTGTTTTGAACCTGCTTCTAGTTCTGTTGAATAAGCTTTTCTAAACTCCATGGTAATTAAATGTACGTGGGAGGGATAAATCTGCCTGCATTTCTGACTAATCGAAAGATAGTTTAGAGATTCTAAATTTCATCACCAAAGTGAAATGTTTGCTTCTGTAGTATGTAGGGGTCATGTTTACTTTCCATAAAAATTAAATATTTGGGTGTATTTGTTTTATTTTTCCTTATCAACATATTTCTTCATAAGGCCTATCTGATGGGCAAAGAAACTTTAGACTTTGAAAGTCTTTTCCTTAAGTTGTTGATGCTTGTTAAGCGTTAACGTGCTTCCCCCTAAAATAATATACTCTGTTTTGAAAGTCTGTAGCCTATATTTGAGTAGGCTAAAGACTAGGTGAAACATGTTTGTTGGCTCCCAAGTCCAAGAGTTCTTGCCTGGAGCCTGTTTCATGAGATGTTGGGCCTAAAATGTTTCAGACAAATTAGTATCTGGGCTCTGCCTTCAGTGAAATTACTGACAAACTGAAACTGCGAGGTCACGTAGTTATAGCTGTAGTGAGAAGCATGCAGAACAACTTGTTTCAGTGGAAACCACAAGTTCGTCAAAGCAAGGTGTGCCTAAGTAGTACCTGTGAGAATGCCTGAGTGGGAACCTTGACTTCACTTAAGAACATTTCTCCTGATAATTCTATCTCATTGGACCAAAAAGCAAAGGGGTTGACCCTGGGTATGCTGCAGTGGAAGCACTGGAGCCTCCCAGATGAGACACAGGAAAGTGGCAAGCAACTTTTTAAAAAATGTTGTCCAAGTTCTTATGCCCTGAGATAGCACTTTTAGTAAAGGAAGCAGATTTAAAGAAAAGCAAATAATTGCTCACTAAATAGTAATGCATTTTAGCTTTTTAAAAATATATAATGTGGAGACTCCTTTGGGTCAAAATTCTTGTCCTGTCATTATTGTAGATCAAAGGACTTAGTGTTGGTTAGATCAGTGGTTCTCAACTGGGGGCAGTTTTGCCAACCAGGGGATGTTTGGCCACTTCCGGAGATACTTCCAGTTGTCATAGCTGGGTGAGTGTGCTACAGGCATCTAATGGGTCAGGGATGCTGCTGAATACACTTTAATGCACGGGATAGCCTCCACAACAAAGAATTTTCCTACTCCAAATATTAATAGTACTGGAGTTGAGAAACTCTAGCTTTAGATTTAGAATTTCTTGTTTATTCCCTCCCTGCCAGCAAAATAGTCATGTGGAAATGAAGGATACTGACTATGACACCTTTGACACTCTACTAAAATATAACTTTTATATACAGACATAATTTATGCATTTCTGTGTTAGTATGTTTATTGTCTGTTTAAATGGGAAGGTGCATTGTAACTTGTCTGAGAGTGTGGTAATATGTGTGAGTACTTTGAAATTATTTTGCATATCTGTATGCATTAAATTTAACAAGGTGTAGCAAATGATTTGATTATTTAAAATGCTGTATTATAACTGCCCAGACTGAATCTACCGGTGCATAGACTTGTTGTTGGCCTTGCTGCAAACTCAATCTAATCATGACGCATACTGAGAGCAAATAGGAAAGGACAGTCGATATCCTCTGTGCTGGCAAATGAGGGGAACTTTTTTGTTAGTGGGCAGTGGTGATAGTTGCTGTATGGAGCCCAAGCAGAGTTGTGTATGTTGAAAATGAGTGGCAATAGCAGAAGCAAGTAAAGAGCTGTTGTTAATGAATAGTTTCAATAATCCAGGACTCCAACTGTTTTTCAGTTTTCTAGCTATCTGAAGTTTACAATTTAATTCACAGTAATAACTTTTCACCAATCAGACAGAGCTAGAGTATTCTTTATATTTCTGTAAATTATCCTCTTATGTGTTCTAATTTTCTAATAATTATTTTACTTTGTAGGAAGCAGTAGTTTTAATTTTTTCAAGTGTGTTTGAATTATTCTATTTATTTAGGGACTACATGTATTCAAGCATCAGGTGACACCTTTAATTTTGATATTCCTGACTTAATGGGTAGGATCCAACCTCTTTTCTTCTCAAAATGCTAATAAGCAAATTTATGATTTAGTCTCCATGAATGGTAGATTGAGATCTACCCCGATCTGAGGCCATGAAATCAATCTTTTGTGTGGATGAAAAACTGGATCATCATTCTTAACCATTTACTAAACATCCATACTGAGCACATACTCTCCACAAAGAAAACGTGGTGAAGTTCCCACAGAGCCATCTGTGCAGGCCTTCCATAAAAGGGCTGTAGGAGATCAAGCATAATGGCCCCACCAGCCTGCCACAGCACACTGGAGAGCTCCTCTGGCAAGCGTCATGGTCTTTGTGGTGGCATCTGGTCATTAGGAGAGGTACAGATCAATGGCTTGTAGTAGAAAGCAACTTGACAGAGTAGCCTAGAGGTCCTGTATTGGAGAACTTGAAGTTGGCAGAAAGGTAGGGTTTAACCATTAAAGGTTTTAACTTGGGCAATTTGACTCAGAAACTAAGTCTTGTATTTAAACCATTGCTCTATATATCAAAAATTTTAAGCTGAGAAATTGAACAGATTGTAAACATGTTTCTTCTTTCCACCCCCTTACCATTCCAATCCAGTTTTTGGCAAGTCTTCAGATACATTCTGTTGATAATATCATTACAGAGTGGCAATGACTTTGAACACTGCTTGTCATGCAAAGAAATTCTTTTCTAGTGTAGACTTACTCTATTATCTAGAGTATTGATATTTTAAGTATAAAGTATAACTTTAAGTAAACATTGATATTAACGGAGTTTGTTTTTTTAAGTCGATTAAAATGAAAGTACAGATATTAAAAATCTATTCTCTTTACACATGCTAGTTGCCAAAGGAACAGTAGTTGGAATGAAAATTAGTGTTAACATATTCCCATCAGGAAAATAAAAGAGTCTCAAAATGATATTTTAAGGATGTAACTGTTCGCTAAAGCTTCACAAGAGTGCTTGATTTTGTGGTAGTGCTCTGAAGTCATTTCTTAGGAATCAGGTTCCCAGATGGCACTCTGTTTTAACAGTCTGCCAAATTGGGCTTGAGGTATGTAAGTGTATATGTGTATTTAAGGTTTATTCATATAAGTAAAATATACCTAGTTTGAATTATTTAATTTCTGCTTTTTAAAATAATTTAAACCTAGTTTTACTTTTTTTTTTTTTGCAAGTACATGTCTTTCAAATGAGTTTCTCAACATCTTCATCTTTTTTTTTTTTTTTTAAGCAAGCTTAACGATATCCAAACTTGGATCTGCAACTTGAGCATGGTGACTTCCACCTGTCAACTCATGTGACTATTTTAAAATGTACCCTTTCTGCCAACTATTAGAAGAGCATAAAATGAAAAGGAAGTTTATTGCATTGTATATGTCTCTATCCCATTCAACCATTCTCTGTTGTGAAGTGCTTACTGGAAGGGATGGAACATTAATTCTGGGTGGCTGAGGCTCTGTTTAAGACCATTGGCAAAAATGTATGGTCAAATTTGGAAATGCTCTTTAATGACAAAGTTTGAATATCTAAGAGTCCTAGCTGCAGGGAACGGTTGTGGGATATGAGGCAGGTCTGATGCTGGGACAAGCCATTGAATAATTCAAGTTTTGTCTATATCTGTTTTTCTCCATTTCTAGTTCTTAATCTATTTCTCAGATAGCCACGTTTCTGAATGCCAGTGCTTCTTCCTTTGCTCTCTACTCCCTCAAATCCAAAAAAGCCCTGGGGTCTGATTCTGTCTTGGCCTGCTGGATAAGCCTTCATGCTGTGGACTTCCCTGGCCAGGGTCTGTATCTTTAAAACGATCCTATCTTATGTTCATTACTGCAAAGGGCCTCACTTGGTGGCCAATCTAAATAGCAGTTGACATGAGTCCCTTCATGGGAGAATGAAAGTTGTTTTGTCTCCTCTGATCAGTTAGCATTTGTTTTACAACAAGGACATTTGAAGGGTTAAACCAAAGAGATATTTTTGTTGAAGAGATTCTTCTTTCAAATGATTGTCTGTAGGGCCGCCTATGTTGACTTAATCCAACTTTTAAAATTGCTAATACTGAAATACCTGTAGTTCCCTCAGTCTTTTTTTTTTTTTTTTTTTTATGTGAGCTTTACCAGTAACCAGAAGTATTAAGCATTGTTTTTCTGACTTTCATGTCCTATTCTGGCCTGATTTAAGTGATTATTTGTGTGAGGGTATAGGCATTGGGGGTATGTATGCTTAAATCTATTTCTGGAGCTACAGAGTAGAAAATGGCACTTCATCCAGTAAGAGGAAATTTTGGTTTTAGGGAAGTCATGACTTGTTTGTTATATAATGAGCATTGATTCAGCATCTTCTATGTGGCATATACTTACACAGACATAGATAAGATGGAGACCTGCCCTCAGTGGGGTTCACATTATGACTGGGGAGATGGCCCTGTAAATTTAATACATTATGTAAAGATAAATGCACAGATTTCTCTGGAAATATAGAGATGTGCAGTCATTTCATCTTTTTAATCAGGAAACTCATCTAATTGGAGATGACATAGGTTTCTCATCTGGGCTTTCAAAGGACTTTTTATTTCCTCTACGTCTAGCTTTTCTAGAGACTTGAAACTATTTGAGGACAGGAAGTATGTATTATTCCCTTTATCTCCTTGGTTCCTGTTACCATACATCTTTGCGTGTTTATTTGAAAACTGGATTTCAATTACAAAGACTTCCTGGATATCTTAAAACCAGGCTTTGAAGATGGGGAAAAACCTGTCTTAATCTTTGCCAACTCATCCTCTTTTTATTCTCATTATAAAAATGCAAAGCAAATCTGGCAAAGCAGGCACTGAACTTTTGGTTTCAGTTGCCTTTTACTTATACCAGAATAATGATAATGACATGGCATATTACAAGATAATCTAAAACTTATGCAGTTTAAGAGGAGCGTGTGTTTCATTTCTGTATGTAATAAACTAAAATGGGAGCTTTGGACTATGTGCCTTTCAAGGTAGTTCAAAGTTTTAATAAATCCTTGTGCGGATGTGCCAATAATAAATGTTAAGAATGCTTAACTGACATTTAAATAATTTTTTTATATAAAGTGTTAGAAACATTTCAGTGTCTTCATATCATAATCACTGATCACTTTTTATCTTGTGAAACAAATCTAAAGTGTATACTTGAGACTTTCCGGTAGAAAAACATGGTGGTTATATAGGTAGTTGTAATATCTTGGTAGAAGCTCAAGGGCAAAGAATAGAACATTTTAAAAGCAGGAACCCATTGGAAAGTAATTTTTTATGAGAAGTCATCAATATTACTTTAAGAAATTTTACGAACAAGTTTACAGTAAGCCTCACTCCTTCTAAAGTCAAGTTACCTGCCTTAGTACACTTTTTACCTTTGTCTAGTATTAAACATCAAAGCCTGCCCTCCTCAAAAAAAAAGTCACATTAACTTTGACTTTGGCATAACTAGAAAAACACTGGAAGGATCTGAACACAGAGAAACTTGAAGATTTCTTCACAGTTTATTTGAGATGTTTCTACTAAATCCCAGGCTGAGTTTGTCACTTTCCAGGAAGGAACAAGCACATTGAGCAGATGTGTATCCGTGGTTGTGAACAGAATCATCTTTGAAGAGAGCAGAGATTTTGGTATTCCCTGACTTGGGTTTAATCTTATCATATCAGTTAATAGCTGAATGACCTTAGACAGATTACTTTTCCTCCCTGTAATGGATTTGCTTCTCCATGAGTTTAATTTTATGGCAAATAATTATTTATTGCTTGCTCTGTGTCAAACTGTGTGCTAAACCCTGGTAATAGTAAATTAGACAGTTGTAATTGCTCTTTGCTTGGAACTTGGCAAATCATATCATTTGGGTGATACCCCTACCTCACAAAGATGTTGTAATGATTAAATGAAGTCAGGTATATAAAGTATATAGTGCCTGTATATAGTAAGTGCTCCATAAATGGTATTGAATTATCATTCTGATCATTTTCATAATTTGGCTTCCCTTGTTTTGACTTTAAGAAGATACATGTCTCCTGTAGGAAAACACAGAGGAAAAAATCTGGCCTCTGGCTGCTTAAATTTTGCTTACAAACTACAAGCTCTTTATTTTTGAGAATTTAGGCCATTTAAAACTTATCCCTTTTCTCCATTGGGAGCAGATATTAAAACAAATGTGTTTTTCTGACATTTATGGTTAATCAAATTGTTGATAAAATCAACAATTTATCCATTTTATTAGAATAGCAAAGCTGGAGAACAGAGAACAGACAGCTAAGTTATTTGCTCTTGCCTCTGTGTATGTGGGGCCAACACAATTGAATTAACTTTTTCAAGACCAAACTTCTTTCTGTATTTTCTAAAATCTTTGAAATTTTTAAATCTGATTTGAATGTTTCCTTAGAAAGTTTTATTTCCCTCACTTTTTAAAATCTAAACTAGTCAGTGACACCAAATCTAACCCAAAGCTTCACATTGTTTGTGAGTTTATTTTTATTGTCGTTCCATTTTTTTCCCTTCATTTCTGTGAAAAGTGTCATTTTGGTCATAAAGAGGTTATCCTTTAGATAAGAAGCTATTATCTGAAAGGTTTTTGTAGAGCTTAGGAATATTTTTCTTTTTGGAATAGGTGTTCAAAATCTTGTCTTTACTGAATTCAAATGTACATCGCAGTCACATTTTCCTCTTAGAGAAAACTTAGCTGCTCCTTTTGGACTTCTCTCATTTGCTTTATTCATTAAATGCTATTACACTAACAACATGAAAAATCTTGATTATGTTATTTGAAATATTTGTTTTTTTACCTTAGGCATTAAAAAATTATAAATAGCAATAGGTACTGTTTGAGATGAAAGCCATGCTTATTATTTAGTTCCAGTGTCACTTGTGTACAATGAAATGTCAAGAAACTGGGAAGTATAATATTATGTCAAAATGCATTAAGATAAAACTTTATTTTTTTTCTTTAAAAAAGTAGAACCTGACTATCAAATGTTAAATAGAGTAGGCATGAATGTTGTTTATTGGCTGTTTAGTGTTCCTTTTTTAGAGTTTAGGTTAATGGAGCAGTTATGTTTTAGGGGTAATTGCCCTGGTATGGTTTCTGTCATGCTGAGCAGCAGTCCTGGGTGGCATTGGTTGTTGGTGGATTTATCCTTTGTTTTTCAGAGACATGCCTTTCAGAGTGCCCCTACTAACCTGGGAGGCAGGATTCTGTGTCACTTTATATTTTGAAGACTTTGGTACTAGTGCTTCAGACACCATTGACCAAATATGCACAGTAAACCTAAGAAAACATGTTCCCAAAGAATTACTGTAAAACTTTTAATTAAAAAAAAACGTGGTATACTTGTACACTCAGTAACTCATACTAACATTATTCTTAAATGTAAATGATTGATATTTTTATAGTGTAATAAAATCTCATTAGATTAAAAACACATGTTGAATCTCCACACTGTAGATAAGCCAATTTTTCCTAAGCTGTTAAAGGAAAAAGTGGGGTTCTTGTGGGCTTGGGAGAAGCACCTGCTTTGAATTAAGCTGTGTTTGTATTAACCACTGTCAATTTAACAAGGGTTTGCTCTGTGTGCTTTGAGCAATTTGAGGGAGAAGTCCCTAGATGCTTATCAAGTATTACTGTCATTACTATAGTTCACTGTTTCATTACATTATAGTAATACTGATGGCTGTCAATTGTTTTGAAATGCTTTTTTCTGTATTCTATTTAATTTACTGAGATATGGAGAAAATCGTCGAAGGAATTAGTGTATCTGGGTCAACAATTTGGCTGACCAATCACTAGACTTCTTTTGGCTTCATACTGAGAAATAAAAATCTCTAACCCATAGTTATTGTTTATCTCATGCTCAATTTTGTGTATAATAGGGGTATATTCACTTATAAAATGCCCAAGAGTAGAGCACACGCACACATTATTAAATAAGAACATAGATTTCCAAGGCCTCACAGAATGACATGCCAGATCCTGAAGGTACCTGAATCCTTGTTTGTTTTGGTGATGAATTTTTTTTTTTTCCCCACCGAAGGGGCCTGGTCCATGTCCTGGAGGAGAAATAGGAGTAGTATCATTAGATATAGGTGTTTATGCCAAGTTATTAAGAAATAGAGCTTTTTGTCCAGGGTAGAGAGAAGCAGCCCAATGTTGATGGGGATGTGGGTGGGTGGTGTGGGGAGTTTGGCTAGAGCCTCACATACTCTAGCCTTGCTATTGAGTCCTCTCAGTTGTGGACCTTTTGTCTTGTGCCTTGTCAATAGCATCCACTGAATATTTCATATTCACTATGGACAGATCCCAAATCTTGTGTGTACATAAGAGAAATAAAACCTACTCCTTTCCTACCTTGATCTTAAAGCCAAAAGTAGAGAAGCAGAAAAACATGCTTAAGTCTTAATTTTTGCTTTTGGGTCTTAAGGAACAGAAGTGATTGAGTGTGCAACTCTAAGGGAATGCTGGATTTGGAGTGATGAATAGCAACGAGGTTAGGAAATCTCTGTATTATAGCCTCCAGAGTATCTCAGAAATATTCCTGTCACTATGATGCAATTAAGTTTAGACAAACTGGAAGATAAGAGCTTTCGAACACTGTCAAGTGATTTACATAAATTATTTCTAAACTAATAACAGCCCAGCCAGGTATTTCTCTTTTGCTTCACATGCCTGAATTGCAATGAGGCAGAGAAGAGTAAGTTGCTTAGTTAGATGACCTTGGGCAGTAATGAAGCTAGGTTTTTCATTCCTGGGGTATCTTTGCCTGCATGCTTGTGCTTCTCCCAGTATGTTGTCTAAACAAACTTATACAGACTTTAAAAATTTGCTGACGTTCTTTCTAGGGCTATGTGACAGAAATTATCATGAGTTGCTTTTTAACCAGGCCAGCTATACCCAGAATGGATTTGTGTACATGATTGAGAATGCCTTATTTGATATGTGGCAAATATCTTCACATTATGATCTAAAATTTTTTTTCTGAGTTTGTGAACTAAGTTACTTTGAGTGGATGTATTACAATGTGCCATCAAGTCTCAGATCATTTATTTGATTTTTTTAAGATCTCCTAATTTTAGGAATGTTAAATAAGAACATATGTACCTTAGAATAGAAGAGATGTAGTACAAATGTGGTCCTCTAACTGGCTAGTTGAGAAATAATGGAGTATTTGGATTTTGATAAGTGTATGTAGATGCCTTTATAGGTTTTATGACTTTCATGCAGATATTTATGAATGTTCCACTGTATTTGCTGTGATAATGGAACATTCTTGTTAAGTGCTGAGGATTGTAAAACCTTACTAATCTAAATTGCTCGGGATCATACTATCACACTTTGACCTTTATAGCACTGGCCTGAAACCTTTAAAAATAGAATTAGTCTTTAAAAACAGAATTTTTAAAGACTTTAAAAACAGAATTAGTAAGTATATTTTATTTATAATAATCTCTTGTTTACCAATTTTTGATGCTCTATTTTACTTAATCTTGTTAAAAACAAACTAAACTGTGTCTCTCTCCTCCAAACGTCCTTGGCTGGGAATAAGTGGTCTTTAAAAAAGAAAACATAACATGGGATATTATTTTGTTGTAATTTAGATGATTACATATTAAATTTTATACAAATAATTAAAGATTAATAATGTGAAGTTCTATTCCAGAGACCAAATTGTAAGCAGAAACATAAATTACAGTAAAAGTATCTATTCTATTGGATTAAAGAAGAAAAATTACTTCAGTAGCAATCCTGCTATCAGTGTAGCTATTGGAGGGTTAAAAACAGGTGATAAGCATAGCACATCAAGGGTAACAATAAATAGTGCAGTCTAATTCCAGTAAGATGAAACTCTTCTCTGGTTGCAGAAAAGAGAGTGGGTGATCAAATAGTGACTCAGAAAAGCAAATCCCAAGAAATGACTCAAGCACAGAAACACTTTAAGAATTTCTTTACCAAGATTTATAATAAATGAACTTATCATTTCTTACCAAGCCTTTAGAAATAATTATTTCTAACTTTCCAAATGATTGCCATTTATTAGGAGGAAGAAATATTCATTAATCTTTCATTTCATGAATAAGATGCTTTAGATTGCCAAAGACACGTGAAACTAATAGTAGCCCAAGATATGAATATACCAAAAGAAGACAAGCAGGGATAATTCTCCTTTAAATAACTAGTAGATGGGTTAGATGTGATAAACACTTGAGTTTTAAAGCTATTAAATGTATAAGTGAAGGAAAAATACTGCCTTTGAGTGAGTGGAGAATAGAAAGAAATTGTTTGAACGTTTTGCTTTCATGCCTTTTCTAATCTTACAACCACTTTATAAGATAGGGTGGTTGACTGAGTTTACAGGTATGGAAACTGAGATGCAGGCTTAGTGACCTGCTCAAGGTCATAGGCTTAGTAAATGGTGCAAATGGAAACCCTCATATGACTCCAAACCCAGTTCTGTTTCTCTTATAAAATTGTCTCTATGTCCAAATGAAGGATATGAAGACTAAATGAAGGAATTCTTTTTTTTAACAAAAGAAAAACATGTTAATGTGTATCTGTCAGACATGGTAATAAGGAAGTTCTGGAGATATGGGGGAGTTTGTAATTTTTAGAAGCTATGGGTAAGAATGTACTCAGACTTTACAGAGAGTTAGAGTGCTTTAAACAAGTGCTTCTCAAACTTCAATGTGCATGGAAAACAACCAGGGATCTTGTTCAAATGCAGACTGATTCATTAGGTCTGGGGCAGGGCTGGGATTCTGTATTTTTAATGAGCCTTCAGGTCTTGCCAGTGAGGACCACACTGAGTAACAAGGGTTTAGATAATAAAAAAAAGTGATCACATGATGGAGTGAGAGTTTAATGAAAGTGGTGGGGATGTAAGTCTTGAGTGTGGATCTAAAGGATGGGTAGGATTTAAATGAGAAGTTAAAGACCACTGCATGTCCAAGGGCACAGAGGCAAGAAGTCCAAATCAAACATTTCACAGAGTCTTCTGGAGGTACAGCATTGAGTAAAGATGAGTTAAGTAGGGTCTTAGCTCTTCGGGCCTACATTCTGATGGGGGAAGCTTAAGGCATGAGTCTTTAATGGAGGTGGGCAGATTGGAGGCAGGATGAGAGGTAGGTTGGGACAAGCTTGAGTGAGGCCTGTAGTATCCTGGCTAGGGGATTTAAACTTTATCTCACAGGTAATGGGATTATCACCAAAAACTTTTGAGCAGATAATTAAAATGCTAAAATCAGAGACTTAGAAAGATAGAGTAATGAAGTAGCCTACACAATGAATTGAAGGAGAACAAGTATGGAGGCTGAGAGAGAGGTAAGGTAATTACGGCAGTCAATGAGTGTGGTGATAGGGAAGCCAACTGCTGAAAGCAGTGAACAGGTAGATGAAGAAACAGATGCTAAAGATGTTTGGAGTAAGACGTGATGAGGATTGAGCCAAGTGAAGGAGAAAGAAGAGTTAGCGTTTGAGCTGTGCAACCATTAAAAGAAACAGAAAAGGTAGCTGATTTGGAGGCAAGAGATGGAAATTAATTTTTTGACACATTGTGTTGGATGTGACAGTAGAACATTCAAATGGAAATATAGGCATTGTCAATATATTTAAGTAGAAATAAACACTGGCTTTGTAGATTTGGGAGGCATCTATGAAGCAATAATAGTCATTTGTAGGAAAACAAAGTCCAGCTCTGAGGAAGTGAAGGTGGAAAGAGAAGTATTCCTCATTCCGTTTTTAAAAATGAGCACTTCCTGGTGTTGCTTTTTTTTTGTTTTGTTTTGTTTTTTGCCTATGCTTTCTTGCTGGTGTAAAATGATCACTGCTGACTCCAAAACCAAGCCATACTTTTTCTATGCTGTTTTCTTCTCTAGGAGACACTTCTTACCCATCTTTGCCTTTTGTTTTACTTTTTTTTCCAGCTTTATTGTGGTATCATTTACCTATAACAAAATTTATTCTATTTTGTTTACAGCTTGAGTTTTTGTAATGAACAGTTGAGTAACCATCACCATAATCAAGCTATAGAACCCTAGAAGTTTTCTCATGTCCCTAAGATCAACCTCTTACCTGAACTCTAGCCACAGTATAGTTCATTATAGTGTTGCTTTTTCTAGAATATCATATAAGAGGAGCATACAGTATGTAGTCTGTTGTGTTTTATCCCTTTCAATTTGCCTACTTTTTTGAAATTGATTCATGTTGAGTAATTCCTTATTACTAAGCAGTATTTCCAAATGTAGATTTGCCACAGTTTGTTTATCTGTTCACCAGTTGATGGACATTTGTGTATCCAAGTTTTGGCTATTGTGGATAATACTGTTACAAATATAAGTTGTCCCACATTCTCCTCGACATTTAATATTATCAGTCTATTGAATTTAGTCATTCTACTTAGTGCATAGTGGTATTTTATTATGATTTTAGCTCACATTTTCCTCATGACTAGTGATTTTTGAGCATCTTTCCATGTACTTAATGGCTGTTTTAATATACATTATTATCTGAATGTTTTAAAATCATTTGCCAACTTCTTACAACTGAGTTGTCTTTATCTCATTGAATTATAAAACTTCCTTATATATTGTGGTTAGAAGCCCTTTGTTAGATATATCAGTTATCTTCTCCCAGTCTGTTACTTGCTGTCTTGTTTCACAGTTTGTCTTTTGAAGAGCAGAAGATTTGATGAAATTACCATTTGGTTATTTTTTCTTTTATGATCCATACTTTTTTGTGTTCTGCTTAAGAAATCTTTGCCTAACCCAATGTTGCAAAGAGATTATCTAATAAAAAATAATGCGAGGTGATAAGGACTATGAAGAAAAATAAAGCAGGGCGAGGAAGAGAGAATGTCAGGAAGGTTCTTTTGGGTATAATATTTTAAGTATGTTTTTAGAAAAACCTCTTCAGTAGACTTAAAAGCAAATAAAACTAGCTGTTGGAATTAATGTTGTATGCTAACAATATCATTAAGAGTTTTGATAAACTTTATCTGCAAAAACTCATTGAGTTGAGCCTTTAGTATCTTTTAAAGTTCTCGGCAGGGAAAGGGCACCCTATTCAATAAATGTTGCTGGGAAAACTGGATAGCCATATGCAGAAGAATGAAACAGAACCACACTTCTCACCGTATACAAAAATTAACTCAAGGTGGATTAAAGACTTAAATGTAAGGCCTGAAACTATAAAAATCCTAGAAGAAAACCTGGAAAAACTCTTCTGGACATTGGTCCAGGCAAAGAATTTATGACGAAGTCCTTAAAAGTAAACTCAACAAAACAAAAAATAGACAAATGAGACTTAAATGGATTAAACTAAAAAGCTTCTGCAAAGCAAAAATAAATAAATAAAAATAATAGAGTAAATGTATAATCTAAAAAATGGGAGAAAATATTTTCAAACTATTTGACACAGGGCTAATATCCAGAATCTACAAGGAACTCAACAAGAAAAAACAACCTTGTCAAAAAGTGGGCAAAGGACTTGAACAGACATTTTTCAAGAGAAGATATGTAAGTGGCTAACAAACACATGAAAAACATGCTCAACATCACTGATCATCAGAGAATGCAAATTAAAACCACAATGAGATACCTTATACCAGTCAGAATGGCTATTATTAAAAAGTCAAAAAACCCAAAAAGATGTTGGATGTTGGTGAAGATGCAGATAGAAGGGAATGCTGACACGATGCTGTTGGTGGGAATGTAAATTAGTACAACCTCTATGGAAAACAGTGTGGAGATTTTTCAGAGAACTAAAAATAGAACTACCATTTGAGCCAGCAGTCATCTATCCAGTATCTACCTAAAGGGAAAGAATATCAAAAAGATACCTGCAGTCATGTTTATTGCAACACTATTTGTAAGAGCAAAGATACAGAATTAACGTAAGTGTCCATCAATGGATGATTGGATAAAGAAATGTTGTGGATATATATATATATATATACATACATACATACATATATATATATATATATGCCATGTATATATATCGGATATATATATATATATATATATATATATATATATATATATATAACGTTAAGTCGTAGTAAGTGATTGTGTCTAAGGGCCACAAGTCTTTTTGAAGTTAGTTCATTCATAAAATCGTGGGAATTACAGAACCAGGAAGGACTTATCTCGATCAACATTTGAACTTCTGTATAGTCATTTCCCTTGCCTCCAGGTGCATTGTTCATTGTTCTCTTCCTTGTCTCCCACTCCTAAGTCAATAATTTGACAATCTCGTGTTTGATCCCTTTTTATACTCTATTGAAACTGTAAGAAGAAAGTTGGAATTATATGATTTGAAAGCTTTTTAAAAAACTTCTTGGAATAGCTTTTATGAATGACTTTGATAACATACCCATTTTTTGCTACCAATAACTTCGATTGTGATTTCAAAAGAATTTTAATTTCTGAAGACTTTAAAAAATTGACATAGGTTAGGAGGAGATAAATATAGTGTAAAAAAGTTATTAGCCTTCAACAGCTCTGGAGCACGTTATCCCACAATTCTAATCGAGGTAATACATGGGAACATCTAATATTAGTTCAGAGTGCTTCATCATGCATGTCATACAGTTGATGTGAGTGTTCACTGTTTTATTTGAACTTACCAGAAAGCCTCTGAGAGAGAGCCTCTCTAGGGACACTAGTAAAGCTCTAGGTTGATTTTCCTATCAATTTAAAAATTGTAGTGTGAATTGTTAATTTGAGAAATGTGCACTTTTAAGAAATGTTCCTTTGTTAAGAGGTAAAAATCAGAATACCAGAGCTGGAAGGTACTAAGGACATAATCTCATTCAGGGCAGTCCTTTTGCATGTGAGAAAAGTGTCCCAGATGAGGTGAGGTGGCGTTTGCAATGTCAGCCAGTGAGCTAAGATGGAGATGTGGATGGAAGTGCCACATCCGCTGTCCAGGTGTAGTTATTTTCACTGCATCTCATCGCCAGCTCAGCTGGCAATGGACTTGAATGAGGACACTGTTTTATTTCTTTTTTTTCTTCCTCCCCCAGTGTTCACTCATTTCAGTGAAACTGTCTATATGAATGGTACTTTGTTTACATTTTGCTTTATTATTATAGTTCGGATTTAGGAATCTGTATAAAATAAGGCTAGCCTTAAATTTTAAAGACAACTTACCTGCTTTAACCAGCAAACCAGAATATGTTCATGCTATTCCACATTTAAGAATATAAAGAAGAAAGTTTACCAATGGCAATTAAATTTTTCTTCCCAGCCACGGTATATTTTTCTTCATTCATGTTGCATACCTATTTTCAGAGTGTTGGTCTGTTTTCCTGTTTTAAATCTGGTGCCTTAACTCTATTTACACATCACTACTTTTGTGGAAAATACTTTGGTATTATAATTCTCTGTAGGATTTGGAAGGTGGCCTTAAATTCATGTTCATTTAATGTTTCATCACATTCAGATAAATTATTTGAATGTTATTTACTTCTGATTTTCTTTTCTTGTTTTTTTTTTTTTTTTGAGACAGAGTCTCGCTCTGTCACCCAGGCTGGAGTGCAGTGGGGCGATCCCGGCTCACTGCAAGCTCCGCCTCCCGGGTTCATGCCATTTCCCTGCCTCAGCCTCCCGAGTAGCTGGGACTACAGGCGCCTGCCACGACGCCCGCCTAATTTTTTGTGTTTTTAGTAGAGACGGGGTTTCACCGTGTTAGCCAGGATGGTCTCGATCTCCTGACCTCGTGATCCGCCCGCCTCGGCCTCCCAAAGTGCTGGGATTACAGGCGTAAGCCACCGTGCCTGGCCACTTCTGATTTTCTTAACTGGGAAAAACAAATTAGAGATTAGGCAATACAAAAATATCTCTAGCCTGGTTTCTCACTGATTACCCTTCTTCAGAGACTACGACAAGAATGCATGGTATTATGAGGACATTTTAAAACCAATGCAAGGTAACTTATTTTAACCTTCTAAATAGGATTCCTTTAAAGCTGTCTGTGGTTGACTTTTCAGACATCTTATGAAAGTAATTTCTTCGGTGCTACTTGAAACATTTTGTTCTGTGGACTCAAGATCTGTGGTTTTTATTTATTTATTTATTTATATTTTTTTGAGATGGAGTCTTGCTCTGTCTCCCAGGCTGGAGTGCAGTGGTGCGATCTCAGCTCACTGCAACCTCCGCCTCCCAGGTTCAAGCCATTCTCTCGCCTCAGCCTCCCGAGTAGCTGGGACTACAGGCGCCTGCCACCATGCCTGGCTAATTTTTTGTATTTTTAGTAGAGATGGGGTTTCACCATGTTAGCCAGGATGGTCTCGATGTCCTGACCTCGTGATCCACCCGCCTCGGCCTCCCAAAATGCTGGGATTACAGGCGTGAGCCACTGCGCCCGGCCAATCGAGTGCCTTTTAACAATGCGCCCTTAAGCAGATGTAAGCACCGTAAGGCATATTGAGTTTTTTTGAAGTCAACACTTGAAAATCATTGGCAGTCGTTCCAGGCGTTTCACTTAACTTCGAGTTTCTTTGTGCTTTTTATTGTTTGTTTTTAATTCTAGTTGGGTAAGGCTAGAGGACTTATGTTTCAACTGAACTTTTTTTCAGGGTAGTAGCTAAACTCGTTGAAGCTGTAGTTTCAGTTCAGACGTAATTTTAACTTTGGTATATTGCTAGGGCAAGGGCTTTCAATCATTAGCATGCATCAGAATTACCTGCAGGGCTCATTAAAACATGTATTACTATACCCCCAACTCTCCCAATATTTTAGGAAGGTCCTGGAGGCATCTCTGTGGAGGAGGAGAAGGGTATAAGGCAAGACTGGAGGCTGGCAGGAAGTGAATGTCATCTGAGGAAGAAGAATGAATTCAAGAGATATTTAGGAGCTCGAATTGATGGGATTTGGTGATGAGAGTTTTCAGGAAAGGGAGTTGTTTGGCTTAGGCCTCAGCTTCTGATGCTGAAAGTTGGAGGCTCCTCACCCAAGTGCATGCATCATTAATCCTCAAGCCTGTACAACCAGGACAGAGCATGTGGAAAGGTGTGCAGGCTTGAGGATTAGGTGATGCATGCACTTAAGAACTTATCAAACTTTAAATTCTGGGCAGAGATAATGACAGTGGCATTCTAAAGGACACAGCTGAGAAGTTTCCTGGGAAGTATTAGCATAATTGGGTTGGAACTAAATATGGTGAACAGGAGATGGGGATGGGGGGAGAACTCATTCAATTCATTAGTTTTGGGAAGGTTTTGCAAGATATTCAAACATAAAATGGGAACGTTGAAATTGATTGCAATCAATGTAAACTAATCTGAAAGACATCTGATTGAATGTATATTGAACTTGAAAGTTAACTGAATGTCAGGATTATATTAACCTGAATTTGAAAGCTAGTTATATTATTCATTTGAAGCCTGTCACTTCTTTCTCAATGATTTATACAGGATGATTGGTGATACTCTAATATTCTGAAATTCCAAGTGTTATATGGAAGGCTAAATAGGAAGTGCATGTGCGTGCATGTGCATGCATTTGTGTATATATATCAAATCAAGGATAGCTATGTAAATGGAAAAATTGACATAACGCATCCCATTGACTTTCTGAAGACAAGTAGCTTTATACAAGTTATCAGAAACAAAATATTTAGTTAAAAACAGACATTATGATTTATGTTTTTATTGGGGGAACCAGCCCCCAATATTTCAATGTAGGTTCTTTTCTATTTTCCCTAAGTGTCAGCCAGTCTAAGAAATAAAGGGAAAGAGTACAAAAGAGATAAATTTTAAAGCTGGATGTCCGGGGGAGACATCACATGTTGGCAGGTTCCGTGATGCCCCCTGAGCCGCAAAACCAGCAAGTTTTTGTTATGGATTTCAAAAGGGGAGGAGTATACAAATAGGGTATGGGTCACAGAGATCACATGCTTCAAGGGCAATAAAATATCACAAGGCAAATGGGCAGGGCAAGGTCACAAGGCCAGGGTGAAATTAGAATTACTGATGAGGTTCCCTGTCCCACTGTGCATGCATTGTCATTGATAAACATCTTAACAGGAAACAGGGTTCAAGAGCAGAGAACTGGTCTGACTAGAATTTCGCCAGGCTGGAATTTCCCAATCCTAACAAGCCTGGGGGTGCTGCAGGAGACCAGGGCGTATTTCATCCCAACTGCATAAGACAGACACTCCCAGAGTGGCTATTTTAGAGGCCTCCCCCTGGGAGTGCATTCTTTTCCCAGGGCTGTTCCTTGCTGAGAAAAAGAATTCAGCAATATTTCTCTTATTCGTTTTGGAAGAAGAGAAATATGACTCTGTTCCGCCCGGCCCTGCAGGCAGTCAGACTTTATGGTTATCTCCCTTGTTCCCTGAACATCGCTGTTATCCTATTCCTTTTCTAGGTGCCCAGATTTTATGTTGTTCAAACACACATGCTCTACAATTTGTGCAGATAACACAATCATCACAGGATCAAGAGGCGACATACATCCTCAGCTTAAGAAGATGACGGGATTAAGAGATTAAAGACAGTCATAGGAAATTATAAGATTATTGACTGGGGAAGTGATAAATGTCCATGAAATCTTCACAATTTATGTTCAGAGATTGCAGTAAAGACAGGTGTAAGAAATTATAAAAGTATTCATTTGGGGAACTAATAAATGTCTATGAATCTTCACAATTTATGTTCTTCTGCCGTGGCTTCAGCTGGTCCCTTCGTTTGGGTTCCCTGACTTCCTGCAACAATTTTTTGGACAATTACTATTGCTCAATTCCTCCAACTTTATTCATGAAATAGGTTGGATTTGCTTTTATTAGTCTTGGGAAGTTTGAAAATGTATTTGCACAGAAGAAATTTCTCATTCCTTTTTCTAATGGCACCTGTACTTTAAAAAATACATTTATAATTATCTAATGGAAAAGATGATGTCTTGGGAGTATTTTTTTAACCTTACTCTATTTTCCTTTTTTTTTTTTTTTTTTTTTTTGCTTTTTTTTTTCTTTTATTATTATACTTTAAGTTTTAGGGTACATGTGCACATTGTGCAGGTTAGCTACATATGTATACATGTGCCAGGCTGGTGTGCTGCACCCACTAACTCGTCATCTAGCATTAGGTATATCTCCCAATGCTATCCCTCCCCCCTCCCCCCACCCCACAACAGTCCCCAGAGTGTGATGTTCCCCTTCCTGTGTCCATGTGATCTCATTGTTCAATTCCCACCTATGAGTGAGAATATGTGGTGTTTGGTTTTTTGTTCTTGCGATAGTTTACTGAGAATGATGATTTCCAATTTCATCCATGTCCCTACAAAGGACATGAACTCATCATTTTTTATGGCTGCATAGTATTCCATGGTGTATATGTGACACATTTTCTTAATCCAGTCCATCATTGTTGGACATTTGGGTTGGTTCCAAGTCTTTGCTATTGTGAATAGTGCCGCAATAAACATACATGTGCATGTGTCTTTATAGCAGCATGATTTATAATCCTTTGGGTATATACCCAGTAATGGGATGGTTGGGTCAAATGGTATTTCTAGTTCTAGATCCCTGAGGAATCGCCACACTGACTTCCACAATGGTTGAACTAGTTTACAGTCCCATCAACAGTGTAAAAGTGTTCCTATTTCTCCACATCCTCTCCAGCACCTGTAGTTTCCTGACTTTTTATGATTGCCATTCTAACTGGTGTGAGATGGTATCTCATTGTGGTTTTGATTTGCATTTCTCTGATGGCCAGTGATGATGAGCATTTTTTCATGTGTTTTTTGGCTGCATAAATATCTTCTTTTGAGAAGTGTCTGTTCATATCCTTTGCCCACTTTTTGATGGGGTTGTTTGTTTTTTTCTTGTAAATTTGTTTGAGTTCATTGTAGATTCTGGATATTAGCCCTTTGTCAGATGAGTAGGTTGCAAAAATTTTCTCCCATTTTGCAAGTTGCCTGTTTACTCTGATGGTAGTTTCTTTTGCTGTACAGAAGCTCTTTAGTTTAATTAGATCCCATTTGTCAACTTTGTCTTAAACTAATTAGAATTAAAAAGTTTCATGTGAAAATTTGGTAACAAAATTCAGCTGTGAACTATGAGCTTCACTGTCATAAACTGTTGGCATTGATTAGCTGTAGATGAGGATTAAAAGGGAGAATTAGGAGTAGGTGTTTCATTTTCTTCAGCCAAATGATCCTCATATGCTGTGAATAGACTTTTAGGTCAGATCAACTGGGGCTTGAATTATAACAATATAATAAAGGTGACTTCTGGAAAATTGCTTAATCTCATTAAGCTTCAGTCTCACCTCTGTAAAATGTGAATAACACTGAATATAGAACTGCATTGGTGATAAAATTAAGCTGCATATGAAATGTGTAGGGCAATGCTGTATAGTACTTGTGTTTATTTTCTGTTGCCGCTATAACAAATGACCACAAATGTAGTGACTTAAAACAACACAAACTTACTCTCCTACATGTCTCTAGATGTCATGTCTAAAATGAGTCTTAAGGGGCTAAAAACAAGGCATCAGCAGGGTTGGTTTCTTCTTGCAGCTCCAGGGGAGAATCCACTTCTTTCTGTCTCTTCTAGGGATAGCCAAGCATTCCTTGGCTCCTGGCTGCATCACTGCTCCAATCTCTGCCTCTGTGGTCACAATCCCTTCTCCTCTACAACAGTCGAGTCTCCCTCTTCCTCCCTCTCATAAGGACACTTGTGATTATGTTTAGGACCCACTGGGATAATCCAGGATGTCTCCCCATCTGAAGATCTTTAATCACATTTGTAAAGTCCTTTTTGCCATGTAGGGTAACATTCACAGGTTCTAGGGATTAGGAAGTAGACCTTGGTGGGGAGTGGGGTCATTATTCAACCTCCCACTGAACTCAATAAATTTTCAGTATTTTAAAGTGTGGAGTAGGAACAAAGAATTCAAAATGGAATCTTTTTCTGTAGCTAAGAAAACCATTTGTGATGGCATAACATGGATTATTCACATACAGTATATTTTATGCACAGATGTATTTTACAGCATATACATAACCATTTTGGAATGCATAAAAATGGCATCTAAAATGTGTAATATTAGGTAATTGCTTAAATAAGGCCCAGCTGAGGGAGCAGGGTCATCTAAGTTGGTTACACTTGCTAGAAATATTTTGCAATATCATTGTAATGGATAAAATGAAGATCTGATATGTTCCTTTTTTTTGACACAGAGTCTCGCTCTGTTGCCTAGGCTGAAGCATGCAGTGGTGCGATTTTGGCTCACTGCAAACTCCTGCCTCCTGGGTTCAATTGATCCTCCCACCTCAGCCTCCTGAGTAGCTAGGACTACAGGCCTCACCACCATGCCCAGCTAATTTTTGTATTTTTGGAAGAGAAGGGGTTTCATCATGTTGGCCAGGCTGGTCTGGAACTCCTGACCTCAAGTGATTACCCCACCTCATCCTCTCAAAGTACTAGGAATACTGGCATGAGCCAACCTACCGGGCCAGATACATCATTTCCTGCCACTTTGTATCTGAAAGACAAGAGAGCTTGAATGAGTTTTTCTTCCAAGGTGGCAAGAATGTTGAGCTCTTGGCTCTACTAAATTGTAATTCTTCCTGCATTTACTATATATGTTTACTGAGTATCTATTAATGGTTTAGGCACTGAGGTAGGTCTTGCCCTTTGGTCTGATGGTATGTTTTTCATTAACTTCTTAGGTGTGTATTCCTTGCTTGTCTGTTTGCTTTGCTTATATATTTAATACCTTTTCTAGGTTACAGTCTTTAAATGAGCCTTTCAGCTAATTTTAGACCCCTGGGAACCTCAAGTCTGCTTTATCTGATTAGTGGAGTTAGCTAAATTCTGAGATCCACCGAAACAGTGGTTCTCAACCATGGGAAATTTTGTACCCCCCTTCCCTTGGCCCCATGACATTTGACAATATCTGGAGACATTTCTGATTTTCATGCCTGGGGCCAGGGAGTGGCAGTGGTATCTAGTGGGTAGAGGTCAGGCATGCCACTTAACATCCACAATGCATAGTACAGTTTCCCCCCGAAGCAGAGAATTATGAGGTTCAAAATGTTAATATTGCCGAGGTTGAGAAACCTTGGTCTAAAATTATATTATCTCGATTAACCTTTGGCATAAATCAAATTGTGAAAAATTTAGTGTGTTGTATCTTGGGATTGTGCCAGTAAACATGAGATAAAGAGGCTTTTGTGGAGCAGGCAATATTTAGGACTAGAGTGATTTATGACATAAAACTTGAGGGTTTGGAATCTCATTTGGGGAGGGTACTAATTTTCCTCATGGTTGAAAATTAAAATTTTGAAACCTCCCACTTATAGGCAGGGTAGAATAATTTATTTTTAAGTAATATGTAGACTTCTGAATGTGTTGCATGCATACATAGTTTGGCATGCATTATTTTGACCAGGGTTCATATCACACAGCACATTTAATATATATTAAATCACAGCTAAGGAATAGGTGCAGTGATAACTTATAAACAACAATTTACATCAGCTTATGCTTTACAGAGAACTTCCATGTACATCAGAAAGGAAACAAGTATTTATGTGCTAGGCATTTTAAATGTGTTTAATTTCCACAAAACCTAAAGATGGATATTATCTTTATTTTTTAAGATAATAAAATGTAACTTCAGGAAATTGACAGATTTTTCTATTTAATCTTGTACATGCTTGCTTTGTAATCTTGTTTATTTTCAGTTGATAGATATTTGTTTTACAGAAATCTTACTTATAAGGACCCAGCAGTGGTAAAATACAGGAAATGAATACTGTTGATCTCTCAGTATGAGAATTGATGGTATTTCATTTACTTATAAGTCTTTTAAAAAGTGCTTTGGCAATATTTCATTTGTGAAATTCTGTAGTGTGTTGTATATACAGGATAGTGGAAAATATCTAAATTTTGTCAGAAAAAATGGCAGTGGGGAACTTCTACCATTGTCTTTGGGTGACAGATTTAGGAAAGAAATTATTGGCAACAGGGTTTGAATCAATACTTTGAGAAAAAAATGAGTTATAGTTCAGGATATGATGAAGATAACTTTTTGGGATTAAGAAAGAAGTAATTTATTTTAAAAATATAGTAAGGTAGAAAATATTTGTGATTACCCTCATACTATTAATAAAACAGGGTCTTGGGAAAGCCTATGAATCACATCAAACCTTAATAGTTTTGTAACCTTGGCAAAGTTTCTTAAGCTTTTGGAGTTGCAGTTTCCTAATGTCAAAATCATTGCATTGTTGTGTGGATTAAAGGAGATAATGTACAATACTCAACATAATGATTGATAGAAAGTGATTAATAAAGGCAATTATTACAATTATTATATTACATAATTAAGTATAAAGGAGGACTTAAACAGATCACAACTAGAAAACACTTCATTAATACTAGTGTCCTTAAGATTTTTAAACTGTTCTGCCAAAAAAATAAATTTTTCAAAGTTTAAGTAAAATAGGTCTTTGTTATAGGACTTCTCATAATTTCAATTTGCTAGTATGTGTATTCAAGAGGACAGCATAGAATTAGTACTTTTAAAAATGTTTTGACCTTCAGACCTATTAAAATGTTGCCAGTTTCTCCTGTTTCATGGTACAGTTTGCAAAACACTTGGATGAAAACATATAATCAGGCAACTTTATTTTTATTCCAATATCATGATCCTAAAGACTAAAAGATTTATATTATCAAGTTTTATATTGGTTTTGAGCATGGGATCAAGTCTGGAAGGACACCTGAAATGTCTAGTTTAGTATTCTTTTAAGTTGTGTCTTCAGGAATATCAGTGGTTTGGAGAAAATTTTTGTTGATGTTAATACTCATCTCTACTCTTTGTCCTCCTTTGAAGAGAAGTCACTAGTAATTTAGTAATTGTGTGTGTGGCGTGAATGTGTGTGAGATGTAGAGATGGGTAAGAAGATGACCCACTAGTTCATCCTCACCCCTCATCTGCTCCACCTCTCGATAGTACTGTTGGCTCTGCCTAATCTCAACATCATTACATTGTCATATGGGTTAAAGGACACAATGTAGAATAGTCCACATAATGATTGATATAAAGTGTCTGTGTCTTGCTTGCCTGCACTGCAGTGGCCACTCCTGCCACACTGGGTGTCCCTTCTGTTGGTCTTGCTGGTTTCTCCTCTACTTCTTAACCCTTAAGTGTTGGGTTTGTGAGGGTTCAATCCCTGGACCACTTCTCTCTCTACTTATTTTCTTCTTTTTTTTTTTTTTTGAGATGGAGTCTCGCTCTGTTGCTCAGGCTGGAGTGCAGTGGCGCAATCTCGGCTCATTGCAAGCTCCACCTCCCAAGTTCACGCCACTCTCCTGCCTCAGCCTCCCGAGTAGCTGGGACTACAGGCACCAGCCACCACGCCTGGCTAATTTTTTTTTGTTTGTTTGTATTTTTAGTAGAGATGGGGTTTCACCGTGTTAGCCAGGATGGTCTTGATCTCCTGACCTCATGATCTGCCCGCCTCGGCCTCCCAAAGTGCTTGGATTACAGGCGTGAGCCACCGCGCCCGGCCTCTCTCTACTTATTTTCTAGGTGATTCCATTCAGTCTTATGAGGTTCTATTTCATCTCTGTGCTGACAACTCCACTAATTACATCTCTAGTCTAAGTTTCTACCTTGATCATCTTATTCGAATGTCTAATTACCAATTTACCTACTCAACATTTTTACGTTAAGTGTTTGACACTTAACATGTCTAAAACCAAAGCCTACTATTTTCATTGCTGCAGTTACCTAGCATTATCACCTTTTAAACTGTTTGGAAGATCAGTTTAAAAATCTTAAGGACATAGTATCAGTGAAGTGTTTTCTGGTTGGGATCTGTTTAAGTCCTACTTTATACTTAATTATGTAATATAATAATTGCCTTTGTTAATCACAGGAGAAAAATCATGTGTGAGTTTATTTGCTTGACATCTACTCTCTCCCTCAACACATTTTATATAACCGAATGTCATAACTCCATTTAATAAACAGATCATACATAGTGGATACTAAATTCTGTATTCAGTAGTCACCTTAATATGCACTCTGTTTGTGGTTTACCGTCTAATGGGGAGACACACGTCTCAGTTGTGAAGTTAGCTTTACGTAATAACAAGCATTTTACAAAAAGTAGAAAAGAAGCATTATAAGTCTCTGGTTGAGAGGGTTAGGGATTAAACCCACCTTTCGGCTCCTGCAGCAGCACTCCTCTGCTGTGTTACTTAAGTGGGAATGTGTGCCGGTGTCTTTGAATGCGTGTGTGTGTGGTTTGTTTCTCTTTAAGTGAAACTATGCTATTCTTAGTAGTGTGTGGGAGAGCTGTGAAATTTAATAACAAATTATTTTTAACAAGAGGGTACTTATTCACTTATCAAGATTGGAATAAGCATTATGTTGCTAGGGCAAAGTGTTGAATTTCTAAGTTTTTTTCTCAATTAAGTAAGTACAGAAATCGTCAGGTTCATATATTTGGGTTCACTAATTGTCTCCAGGGATGATCTTATTTTCTCAAGTGTCACTTTAATAGTTTCCACAATGATTATGGCATGTTTGTAGCAATGGCAGATTAAAACCAATGAGTCACACGCCTCTAACGTCACTGGGAGGTTGTCAAATGGAATGCAGCTTCATTTTTAGGAATGAAGGTGGGAGGGAAGGAGGTAGATTCTGTTTCTTAGTTTTCTTTTTAATGCAGCTTACTTTTTTTGAGAGAAGGAAAGAAGTGAAGTATTCTAAGAATTCATCTTCAACTTGTTTTATTCACATATCTCTTGTTTGACATAGTGATGAGAGAATGGTGATTGCACTTTTCTCTATTTTAAATAGTGCGATGGATGAGCTTCCATTCATAGAACAATAGAACTTCATTTAGTGGAACAAGAAGCCAGTACCTGATATATTCCTAAATTCCTATTTTGATTCCTAGGTTTTGAAGAGCAATAGCCCCTTCCCTTAGAGACAGTGGTATTAAAAATGATTTTCTCATTATTCTCTTAAAATTTCACTTAGTACATTTAGGGTTTCTTATGACACCTACACTTTTCTCCTGTTTGCAGATAGACTGGCTTGTTGCATATATAAAAATGAGGTCAGGAGTTTGAGACCAGCCTGGCCAACATGGTGAAACCCCATCTCTACTAAAAATACAAAAAATTAGCCGAGCGTGTTGGCGGGCTAATCCCAGCTACTTGGGAGGCTGAGGCAGGAGAATCACTTGAACCTGGGAGGTGGAGGTTGCAATGAGCCGAGATTGTGCCATTGTACCAGCCTGGGCAAAAAGAGCAAAACTCTGCCTCAAAAAAAAAAAAAAAAAAAAAGCCACTGCTCTGTCCTCAGAAGAACTTCTGCTTTGAATTTTCCCTACTGTCTCCCACTGCCACACATGCCTCCGCTCTTGCCCCAGACATATCTTACATATTTAAACCAGATGCAGTCCATATACTTTTTCTTCCTGTGACTGCTCATGAAATCATGATTCACGGCCTCATTTCTTGATTTTTTTTTAAAGTTGTGAACAGGTGGCCAAGCTGCATAAGCAACAACTGGAGAGCAGAGATTACTTAGTGGCTTGGAGAGGGACCAAGTATCTTGTGAGCCCAGCTCTTCTAATATCAGTCCAGTTTCCCAAGAGGCAACTCCCAGGTCAGCTGGTGCCACCCAGGGCAGGGCAGGGCTGGAACTGACTTTTGAAGGGTGGGGTCTGTAGGAAGAATCCATGCATTGCTCTGGGAAGTGGCCTCAGGAAGTAGAGGGCTGGGGACAGAATCACTCATGAGTTGCAGTTGTTCTGGGCAACAAAGCAAGGCGGATACTTATTCTGGTAGCAGGGTGGAGTTTGAACTGGGCAGTTACCTCTGCTCAAGCCCCTTGAAGAATTTCAGATTCCCTGTTAACCATGGAGGCATGGGCTGGAAGCTGGGTGTGGGGGCAGGTGAGTTCAAACTTCTTACCTTTTCTATTAGGATATGGATAAATCTTCCCCCGGGGATTCTTTGGACAAAAGCATTCCCATTCTGTCAAAAATTCCAGTGTGAGGTTTTTATCATACATGTTTCCCTGTATAATGATTCAGTCAGATAACTGTATTTGATCTTAAACAAGATTGGCTTGGACAGGATAGGGGCTGGGATTTGGGGAGAAGAGATGATTTTGGAGCATAAAGAATTCAACTCCTAGGAGGTTATGTTATTTAGGCAAAGCATGGGGAGATCAGGCCTTCCAGCGTTGCAAATGAGAATGCTGGTACCTTGAGAAAGAGAGGTACTAAGACATGTGAGAGGAACACAGAGAAGTGGGATTCTGTGGCAAATTCTATGAAGCTTTACTCCCACGTGGGGAAAAATTTCCTGTCTGTCTTGGCCCCGATCTGCGGAGCTGGTTCTGTGAGTGGCTTTGATAGCTCATATATGAACATTTAAATGCTTGGCTGTTCTTAGCTAGGCCTTTGATGGACTCTGGTATGCAACCATGTGGCCAGTGTGGCTCCAGCTCCCTGCTGTCTGGGCCCACACGCAGACTCCTTAGAGCATAGTATGCTCTAAACATACCCTGGGGAAGGCGGTGCTGGGTGCATGTGCATGGGCCCAGAGTTAGCTCCTTGGATAAACAGAAGGCATTTAGAAATATTTTTGATGCAGCCCTAGCCCTAGAACATAATTGGCTGGTGCACTGCGGTAAAACTATAATCTCATCCATTAGCACCTTATTCCAAACCCGATCATAAATGAAGATAGATTTTGGCTGTGTAGGCACATTTTCCCTCAGATTTTGGAAAATTTAAGGGTATTTGGCCAAGGCAGGCCCTGGTAAACCAAGGATGTGTGGGGAGGGCTGGCTTGGGGCCAACATGGAAGTTTGGACAATGCTAATAATACCACGCCAGTGTGCTTTGCCCTTGGTTTGACCTTCTAGAAATTATTTCTTATCCTTCTTTAAAGCCTTCCATGGCAAAAGGGCAAGGAAAGTATAACATCGAAGAGTGCCTTGAATTATTCTTCACAGAAATGTCTCTTCTGAGGAAGAAAACTGTGTTGGGGGTGGAGGGGGCGGAGTTGACTGTCCTCCAGCCACTGCCCTGTCCCCTAGTAGTTTGGCTGAGATGGATAATTAAGGAATAGCCTTGAATTGTCTCACTTACTTGTCCTGCTTTGATTAAGCATTTTTTAAATCTCTCACTAAAGCCCAGTGAGGCTGGTACTGTTGTTCCCATTTTACAGGTGAGGCTTTGGAGACAGTGAAGTGATGCAATCAAGTTCTCACAGCTAGTGAAAGTGGAGCCAGAATTTACACACTGGAGGTCTGAACCCCAAAGTCCCGCACTCAACCAAGCTTCCTCCTCAGGGAACGACCCGGCCTGGGATCCCTGAAGACCCACAGCATCTATGTAGACTTTTTTACCCACTGGTCCTTTGGTTAGAAATGATATTTCTTGATTGACTTGGTACTAGTATTTTAAAACCTTTGAGTAAAGAAAAGAGGATCAGACCTAGAGCTTCCTGGTTCTAAGTTAACATAGTAGCAGTTAGGATAAGATGATTAGAGCTGCATGAGTCCACTTGAGAGCTTGGGGCTCCCTTGTTCTTACTCTCTGGCAGAAAGCTCAGATGTCCATGATGGGCATATAGTTTCTGGCCCTTTGCCAGAAAGCAAAGGAATTATCAGAGCTATTCCATTAATAGAGTGGAAGATTGTGTCTATGCTGTATTTGCTATTTCTTGAATATTAAACATGTAAAAGTTAATGTATGATCCAAGTATAGAGTAAGGGCTATCAACATACCCAAGATAGGTATTTTTTTTTGCAACTATTAATATTTCATATCTACCCCTTTTTTTTTTTTGGATGGAGTCTTGCTCTGTCGCCCAGGCTGGAGTGCAGTGGCATGATCTCGGCTCACTGCAAACTCTGCCTCCTGCATATCTACCCATTTTTAATGCAGATTTGGATTTCAGTGCAAGTATGGATTCTTTGGGCTCTGTCTTTCAGAGCTCTGTTAGGAAGCTTTTTCATCACATAGGCCACCATGTAAGCTTTGTATTCAGTCCTTTGAAGTTTGTACAAAGCACTTTGGTCTTTGTTTCTGTATCTGTTTTTTGGAGGGATTATTGATTTGATTCTAAAGAATTCTATTTTATTGCAATTTAAAGATAACAGGTTAGTAAGAAGTATAATTATGAGTATCAATACAATTTGAGTTGAAATTGGACATATTTGAAGTAGGTTAATGCAATTTAATTGTTCTCTGACATTGTATGAGTATTGTCTCCTGAGCTTTTATCATTTCAGGCTTTTTATTGCTAATTTACATTTCTATAGGTTAAATAAATGTATTTAACCAGAATTTGAGAGCATCTGTTTGCCATGTACTGTGCGAGGCATTTTTAATCAAATATTTTTATGTGCTTGCCAAGTGGTAGACCCTGTCTTAAGGCAGTTGGAATATAGCAGTGAACAAAATCACAAAAGTCCTTTTGGATTCAGGTAGAGGAGAGAAAAAAATGCCTATAGTAGATGGTTATAAATACAAAAATAAAGCACGGATGAGAGATTGGGTGTGTCAGGTGGGCTAGTTGCAGTTCTAAATATTGGGGTCCACTGATGGGCCTTGCCATCACATGGCTTACAGCCTTGTAATAATTCTTTGTTCACAGAGTTGTTGTTCTTTGATCATAGTGTAGAGTAAGGGCTATCATCATACCCAAGATAGGTATTTTTTTAAACTATTAACATTTTATCTGTACCCATTTTTATTGCAGACTTGGGTTTCAATGCAGGTATGGGTTCTTTGTTCTCTTCTCTCTCCCCTCTCCCCTCTTCTCTTCCTTTTCTTGAGAGAGGGTCTCGCTTTGTCACCCAGCCTGGAGTGCAGTGGTGTGGTCATAGGTCACTGCAGCCTTGAATTCCGGCATTCAAGAGATCCTTCTGCCCTCAGCCTCCCAAGTAGCTGGAACTATAAGCATGTGCTACTGTGCCTAGCTAATTTTTACATTGTTTAAGAGGCAGGGTCTTGCTATGTTTTCCAGGCTTATTTTAAGCTTCTGGACTCAAGCGATCCTCCCATCTTGGTGTTCCAAAGTGCTGGGATTACAGGAATGAGCCACTGTGCCTGGTCTGTTTCTTGATGAACACTTCACCATTAGAAGGAAATTTCCTTCTAATCTACTGAAACAGAGGGCATTATCCCTACTTTGTCCAGAAGGAAATCAAAGCTTTGAGAGTCAAGTAAATTACCAAATGAACACAGTGAGACCCAGATCTGACTCCAAAGCGCAGGCACTTAAACATGGTATCAGACCATGTCAACTTTGGACATATTTGTTGTGGAAAAATTATCCAACTTTGGAGCTAAGGCTGTCTTATATTTCATTCTGAGGTGTCGTGCAGTAAGTAGGCTGGTTCATGGAGTGTGTGTGTGTTACCTGTGTTACTGTGAGCTTCCCCTTCACCATTGCAGTAGTTCTATTTTAAAGGACTTTGGGTTATGCCCTGTGGCCACATGACAGGCAAAGGAGCTGCTTGGTTACCGACTTCCATGCAGTGGAATGCATTTGTATGTGAGAGAGTGAACTCTGTTTACTCCAGCAAATCATTGACTACTTGAATTCCTGGCATTGCATTTCAGAGATAGGACACTAATTTGGCTGGCCTATGTATCATGTCCAAGAGCATGTTATAAATGCTCATATTTAGAAGGGAATGTAAAGTGAGTAAAAGGTAATAATGCGAAGGTCACTGCTTATGGTGTTTATCACAGAATAGGACATCCCTTGTATTTCCAATGATTGTTTTATCATGATAAAAAGTGAAAACAAATGAGTATGTTGGATTAGAAACCTTTTTGAGGACTGTGGAAATGAGGTCAGGGGTTCAAGAGAGCTCTGTTTTTCCTTCTGCCTTGAGTGTGCTTATGATCAAAGTGGGAGGATGTTCAGCCCAGTGCATTCTTTGTCCTGTGCATTGATGATTCTTTTGTGCTTTGGCTAATTTAATGTTTGACATGTGTATGTTGGTTATTAGTCCAAAAAAGGGGCTATATGTTTGCAACTCTGCTGTTTTTTGTTGTCAGTTTCTAGTGACTTTTCCCACTTACCACTTCTAAGTTAAAGTGCTGGGTTTTTGTTTGTTTGTTTGTTTTTTGAGACGGAGTCTTGCTCTTGTCGCCCAGACTGGAATGCAGTGGCGCAATCTCAGCTCACTGCAACCTCCGCCTCCCGGGTTCAAGCTGTTCTCCTGCCTCAGCCTCCTGAGTAGCTGGGATTACAGGCGCCCACCACCACGCCTGGCTAATTTTTGTCCTTTCAGTAGAGACGGGGTTTCCCCGTGTTGGCCAGGCTGGTCTTGAACTCCTGACCTTAGGGGATGCACCCTCCTCAGCCTCCCAAAGTGCTGGGATTACAGGCATGAGCCATTGCACCCGGCCATTGCTGTGGATTTTTATAAGATAATTTTCTTTTTACTCAAGAGTTAAGCTATGGTTTGAGCACATGGGCTGTGGAATTTATTCTACTTGTTTACTTTTTTGAAGGATAATATACAGAAAAGTATACATATTACAAATGTACAACTTAAATACTTTTTGGAAACTGAGCACACCTGAGTAGCCAGCTTCCAGATCGAAGCACAAACAATTGTCATCCTAGTGCCCCATCCTCTTCTAATCTCTTCTGTCATTCTCTTCCCACAAGGGTAACCACTACCCTGACTTCTAACAGCATTTTTTTATTCAGCCTGTCTTTGTACTTTATATGAATGGAATAATACAGCCTGTACTCTTTTGCTTTTGGCTTCTTTTTCTTTCCATTATTTGAGAGGTTGAACTTGTGGTTGAATATAGTTGAAGGTTATTTTCATTGCCATATGATATTTCATTACGTGGATATGCCATAATTTATCCATTATAATGTTAAGGACATCTACGCTGCTTCTAGTTTTTGTTGCGATGAATAGTGCTGTGATAAACATTCTTGTATATAACTTTTTGTTAACATATATAAGCGTTTATGTTGGATGTATACCTAGGAATGGAATTATTAGGTCATAGAATATCAATGTATTTAGCTTGAATAGATATTACCAAGTGACTTAAGAGTTTAAGTAGTTGTACCAATTTACATTTCCATCAGTAGTGTGAGAGTTCATGAATTTCATTGTTGAGATGTTTTTTTGGGAGGTGGGTAAGAGGTGCATGCTCTTCTTAGGTTCATTTCAGTACAAGTTTGTTTTCTGGAAAGGAATGGTCTTAGTTGCCTTGTTGATTCTTTGAAAGCTAAGTTAAAAATTAGTCTCTGTGTACTCACATTCTCTTTTTACTTTTTCTCTGTATATATGAATATATATGTGTTTTATGTTGATGTCTTCTACATGCATATATAGATGTGTGTATATTTTATCTTAAAGTATACTACTGTGCTGTTAGACTGGACAGGCCAATTAGAAGCTTTCTTAATCAGGCTTCTACAAGTCTCTGAATTCACACCGATCCTGCTTAAGTGTCTCTAATGAGGGGAAGTGCTTTCTTTTTAGGATGACCCATCCCTTTGTGAAGTAGCATATTGTTGCTTCTTCAACACTGTGGTGCCATCTGCCTCTTTTTAACTTCTCCCATAAGTATCATGCCCTTTCATATGTGAGCAAAAAACCCATGATTCTTATAATACAGTGAAGTTTCTTCAGGCAGAGGTTCATGGCTGTTTTTTAAACTGCCACTTTTCAACATTTGCAGGGTCAAAGTCTCTGAGCAGTTTGCTCTGGGGAACTTGGATGAAAAACCTTATGGATGATGAAAAAAAAACCCCATCAGTGCAAAAAACCCCTCGCTTTTATTTTTCATTGTGTTTTTAAGGTTTTTTTCCCCCCATTTCCCAGTTCTTTTTTCATGAACACACTGATCCCCCCTCATTGGGTTTAAACCTTGTTTAAGAAGGAAATACAAAAAATGCACATAATGTATTTAAAAATTAGACTGAAATGAATAAAATGAAAAAACAGCACTGCTTTTTATAGAAAACTGACAATTATATTAATGCATATCAATGAATACAGAAAATCAATGCATTATACTTTTGTCAAATCAATGAATATGGAAAAATTCTTCTGATGGAGATAATATGAGCTCTAAGAGATTTGGACTTCCATGTGATATTAATATTCATAGAATTTTAGAATAAAAATGAGTTTTTTTCTAGCTATAATTAATAATTTAAGGTTCACGGATATTACCTAATAGATATTTTCTTTCTTTACAGGCAAGAAGAGACTGACAGGAGAGTGAAAAATGTAAGATACATTTACCTTAATGGAGCATTATAAGTGGCTTTCACTTTCATGTTCTGTAAGAAGGCAGTGAATCTAAAAGTATACTCTACATCTCTTTTCTAATTAATTTTTTGCTACAAACCAATCAGTTACAAACAGTAAATATGTTTAAATATATGCATTACAATATATGGTTAGGCTGTTCAGCTCCCACTTATAAGGGAGAACGTGTGGTATTTGGTTTTCTGTTCCTGCATTAGTTTGCTGAGGATAATGGCTTCCAACTCTGACCATGTCCCTGCAAAGGACATGATCTTGTTTCTTTTAATGGCTGCATAGTATTCTAGAGATGAACAATGAGAACGCATGGACACAGGGAGGGGAACAACACACATTGGGGCCTGTCAGGTGATGGAGGGAAGGAGAGTCTTAGGTTAAATAGCTAATGCATGTGGGACTTAATAGCCAGGTGATGCCTTGATAGGGGCAGCAAACCACAATGGCACACGTTTACCTACATAACAAACCTGCACATCCTGCACATATATCCCAGAACTTAAAATAAAATTAAATTTAAAAACATATTGTTAGAGTGGTATAAGAGGATAGGTTAGATTTAGGAAGCTGTTTGTTATGTGTTAGCAATACGCTAAAGGCAAGTAAACACATTTTAAGATTTTTATAGGAGTAAATAGGAAACTACCAATTTAGACTTTAAGGAAAAGCACTGACTGTTTAAGGACTCTGGGTAATTCATCAATGTAGACTCATATGTCTTACAATATTTTATGGAAATTGCAAGAATATCTAAAAATGTTGCAGCTTTATTAAAAAGTTTAACATCCTTATTAAGGAAGCTGAGAATTATTGATGTTTAGGTGATCATTCTGTAAGTTCGATGAAAAAACATTGATTGCTTTAAAAGTTTCATTTGTGTTTTCTCTTATTTTTTTCCCTCTTCGTATATACTAGTAGAGTATATGAATGACTACCTTTTGGAGTCTGGACTTTTGGTCTGAGAACTTGCTCAGAGACAGGAAAATTTAGCAAGAAAAGTTAAGATTTTTAATGACTTTTACCTTTCCCATAAACTTAAAAGAAAGTCTACTTTTCACTTACAGAGTAATATGTGCTATCATTTATCTACAGTACTCACCTATATTTGAGCTTGCAATTGGTTGCTAATCGACTGATCTTGTTGTTCATGGATTTTTTTTTTTTTAAGGTTTTGATAACATTGTACTGGCTGGGAAGAAAAGCACAAAGCAACCCGTACTATAATGGTCCCCATCTTAATTTGAAAGCGTTTGAGAATCTTTTAGGACAAGCACTGACGAAGGTAAGTAAACTACATCTGTGTGAGATTACTGCTGTAATACAGTATCACTGCTTTCCCTTCCTCCTCTCTTCTTTTTCTTCTCCTTCTCCTCTATAACAAATATGGCAACTCCGACTCTCTTTGTCCTACTATCAATTGGGCTGAGTAAAGAGGAATGTTACTCATTTACTGGCTTTATATGCCACCACCAAGGAGTCAGTTGGGTCTATTCCAGAGCAATTTCCAAGGTAGAGAAACTTGCTTACCTTTTAATTCTACATAATTTGATGACACATGCATTGGCTTCCTTCCTTACACACTTTATGTAGCTTAAGTATTGCTATACTCATCGTAAACTCAACCTGTAGTAGAGAGGTGCTTCCTGGACTGTTCACGCGCATGGAATTTACTCAATTTCTTTGTAGTAATATGTTCTTGTCATAGATGATAGTCTTTAATGCCCACACTTTCATATCCCCACAATTCTACCATGCCGCCTCTGTTTCCTAAAGAGTAGGACATGGTGTTAACTGGAACTTGATGTAAGGTTTTTAATTTAGAATCTTTTGTTTTATACACATTTCTAGTCATTCATATTTTGCAATCAATGTGACAGCCTTTTGAATGCTTGAGGATCATTTGCAGAGAGCCAAGTGCCAGGACTGACCGTAGTTCTGCCAAATCTTCATTTATAAGATCCACATGGGAAAAACGAATTTCTCTGGGTAGGGATATTTATTCAGGGAAATTTGTAGGACTCAGAAGAGCCCTTTTGTGTAGTCACAATGGTGTTTCATCATCTAATTAGTAGTCATTGTTTCATGGGTTTCTCTAATGGTTAAATGATACCACACCAGTAAGGCATTTAGCATTAGCCTCTAGCACATTGTAAGGTTGCAATAAATATTAGTTGCTGTGATTGGAAGAAATTTTAGGCCAGGATGAACATGATAACCTTGGCTTGCACCTACCCTGATCTTTAAATAATTTTGCCTGAGCCCAGCCACATGTATTATAGCAAGAGGTGGGATTATAGAGCCTAGAAGATACAGGTATTCCTGTTCACCCCCAAAATGTAAGGAGTCAATAACGCTGTATTCAAATTCCTTGAATAAGTTAATTCAGGAAATAGCTGAGATATTAACATGCATACACATAGTACTAAGTGTTAGGAAAACACTCATGAGAGACTACGTAACCTCATAAAGCACAATTGTCTAAGATAGGTGAGCATATTGGTCACTGCAATGAAGAATGGTGAGGCTTTAGTGGAGGAATTTCAGGGGGCTTTGAGCACAGGGAGAGCCTTGATTTACAGTTATTTCAGCTAACAAAACTTTTGATTAAAACCTATGTGGGGGGCTGGGCACAGTGGCTCATGCCTGTAATCCCAGCACTTTGGGAGGCTGAGACAGGCGGATCACCTGAAGTTGTGAGTTCGAGACCAGCCTGACCAACATGGAGAAACCTCATCTCTACTAAAAATACAAAATTAGCTGTGTGTGGTGATACATGCCTGTAATCCCAGCTACTCGGGAGGCCGAGGCAGGAGAGTCGCTTGAACCTGGGAGGCAGAGGTTGTGGTGAGCCAAGCCTGGGCAACAAGAGCAAAACTCCGTCTCAAAAACAAACAAACAAACAAAAAACCATGTGGGACTTTGGCTTATGTACTAGGGCTGTCTTTGTAGCCTTTGGTCCTTTTAATGACAGTCTGACTCAGGTTGAATAATCCTAGTACAGTGTCTATGCCAGGAATGCTTTATCAAAGGCTGTTTCCTGTTACCAGTTTCAAAACCAGAGGAGGTAGTTGAAGACCTTATGGTGTATAAAACTAAGGTTGTGGTTCCATTCCATTATAATAAACTGGGGGTAGCTGTTAGAGGTATGTGACTATATCACATGTTTTGTATCAGTTCTATTAAAATCAAAACCAATGTGTTCATCAGGCATTTCCCATTTAACCAGATAATGCTTAAAAGCTAACATAAAATACCAATTAAACAATCGTTGGTGGAAGTTGTAGCACCTCAGTCAGTCATCTTGGAAGTTGGAGGTGACTCATTTTAATTGACTTGTCAGCGTGCCTCCTTAAAAGCCAGGCACCAGGGCCAAAGGTTATTTTATAACTGAAGTGGCTGTCATCAATAACTTTAACATTTATGAGGTCAAAAATCCATCTTGAGTGTTGAACTCTAAGGCCTTAACAAATACGTGTTTGAGAAACCTGACAGATCTAAACGCTTAAATTTAAAAAAATCTTTCTGTATTTTGAGAAGCATTTTGGCAGCACCAGCGCTAGGCCTGGCTTCCCCATCTGCTTGGAAGTAGCAGGATGTAAGGTAGGCACTTGCATTTTCATGACAGGATGTCAACTCTAATGCCAGGGTGTCGGCATCTAAAGCACATGAAATCTCCTTGAAATCTACTAGACTTTATTGGTGCTCCAGACACTTGTCAAACAATTGAATCATGAATTGACGGTATTAGATCAAAAGTATGCCTGAGACAGCTGCTAATTATTCACTGCAAACTCTTCAGCTTTTTCATAAGTTGAAAATATTTATAATTAAAAGTTGAAAGAAGAGTACAACAAATACCCAGATATGCACCGTCTGGTTCAATTATTACAATTTTCCATACTGGCTTTATCTACATATGTGTTTATCCATCCATCTATGTTTTTACTTAACCATTTTAATATAAACTGCAGATGTATTTCTCCCCCAAATACTCAGTATGCATCTCCTAAGAATATGAATATTCTTCTATGTAGCTACAGTGTTTATTATACTTAAGAAAATTCAGATATTCCCCATTATCTAATATTCAGTTGACATTAAAACTTTCATGCTTGTCTCCAGCTACTTTTCACAGCACTTTTTATTTTGAATCATGACTTAATCAAGGTTCACATATGTTTGATTGTTAGTAATTACTAGGTTCTTTAAATTGTCTCTGTATTAGTAAGCTCATCTGAAAGTAACATTTCTGGTTTTTACTATGACAAAATTATCTTCACCATATTAAAAAATTATAGTTACGAGATATTCATGATTACTGTAAGTCAGGACTACACCATGGGCTTTGTAAATTTTACTCACATCCTAATGTTTAAAAAGCCAGGTTATATTTTGTCACTAACATTCACAGAAGAATGTTAGTTAAAAGTGCTTATCTTGAGTAAGTTCTATATAATTCACAAACCTACAGTTAACATCATTTGTGATGTTCCTGTGTGTCCTTTATATGAGCCAAACAAATATTTTATTTAGGTCCATAGAAAATAAGTTATATATGTCAGCAAACAAGTATGCTTCCCTTGATTCAACAAGAAGGATAAGCCAGCTGCCAGGACCTTAGAACTAGGTTGTGTAATTAGTAAAAGTGAATGAATTCTGTGAAATTTGTGCCCACTTGCTCCTTTTTATTTTTCTGGGGGGAGAGTTAACTAACTTCAGTTGTTAAGGTTTTATGTTATATAAGCCATCACAAATATTTCCTGGAGATAGAGTGAATATAATCTTGCTGATTTATCTCCTTTTGGATGACTAAGTTAAGGTTAGTTTTTCTTTTTGACTCTTTTCACATTTATTGCTAGAGAACTGTAATAACTGAGTTTAGCATTTCAATGTTACTCTATGAACTTTCATTAAACTAGTAATTTTCCTTATTTTTAAATAGAACATATGTACTAGTTTATTAAATAATATTGAATATCTCCTTATTATTACTTTGAATATTGAATACCCCCTTATTGTATCAGTTGTGGGCAAACAATTACAAATTTATTTTCTGTTTTTCATCAGCTTTTTGCTGTGTCCGACAGAGAAACCTCATGCCTTACATGTCAAATAAAACCCAACTTAAATTAGGCAAACAAGCAAGTAATAACCGATTGATTATATTTTTTGGAAGTTTATTTAACTTACTATTCTTTAAAAAACGTTTTCTTTAGGCACTCGAAGACTCCAGCTTCCTGAAAAGAAGTGGCAGGGACAGTGGCTACGGTGACATCTGGTGTCCTGAACGTGGAGAATTTCTTGCTCCTCCAAGGCACCATAAGAGAGAAGATTCCTTTGAAAGCTTGGACTCTTTGGGCTCGAGGTCATTGACAAGCTGCTCCTCTGATATCACGTTGAGAGGGGGGCGTGAAGGTGTGTTGTGTTTTGGCTGTCAGTTTATTTGTTCACATATTAAGGGAGAACTGGGAACAGGAGAGAATAGAAAAATGGAGCAAAAACTAGGCAAAAATTTCACTTAGAAGTGGATTTTCATAGAGACTGGAGTATAATTGGGGGTTTTGTTATTTTTTTCTCCTTCATGATGGTGATAGTTTCATTTTTGAAAAATTTCATTTCTGGAAAGGACTGAGAGGTGACAGTTAATTGTGGCCTGTTTTATCAGTGATAATCTATCCTGGCTCTTCTCTCTCCAGATTCAGGCTTAATTTGTGTTCAAGAGTTCTATAAACTGATATATCTAAACATAGAAAGGAATATAAGATTCTGCAAAAAAAAAAAAAAATCTTCTAGTTTCTGAGTAACTTTCATCCTTGGCTTTTTTCAAAAGATTAAAAAAACTCTCTTAAGCAAAAAAAGAAAAATATTTTTACAATTATTTCTATAGATGAGAAGAAATGATTGCTATCTATCATGATAGAATATTATGTTAAACTTTGTAGATTGAGTAATATACCACCACCTAACATGCAGGTAGAAATCCTCTTTTGGTCCTTTCAGAGTCAGAGCTAACCCAGGACAGAGCAAGTGTGAAAGGAACATGTTAGAGACATTCTGTTGCGGGAAGGAACCTTCTTTCAAAATCCCAAGCTTATGGTCAGTTCAGTTATTTCAATGCACATCTTATTCCTGTGGCTACTGGGTATAGCGTCAGCAATTTCTGAGTGTACATCTCCAGCTATTCAGATTTGACTAGATTGAAACCACAAGTGAAGTTTTTTTTTTGAAATATTTCTGTGCTTCTATCGACATCAATGTGAAAACATTGAGTTCTGGCTGTGATTTGTGCTTAATTGTTAGGGATTTTACATTGCTTGTGTATTTGGAATATTACTTTTCTATTTCTAGATATTTTTCCTAGCATATCTATGACAAAAATGTCAAAAATCAGCAAACTTAAAATAATTGTACAGCGAACACACATGTATTCGCTGCCTAATTCCACCATGATGTTTTACTATGCATGCTTTATCTTATACTCATCTCTCTCTCCTCTCTCTCTCTTTCTCTTTCTCCCTCCCTCCTTTCTCTATTATAATTTAGTCATCTTATTTTTTGAGGCATTTCAGAATATATCACACTTGTCCTAAATACTTCAGTATGAACATCATTAACTAGAATTTATTCTTTGTTTTACTTCTGATGTGAAACTTATATAAATACAACATGCTATGAATTTGTTTTCCAAAAAACCAATCAACAATTTATTAAGCATGGTAACAAAAAACCTGAAGGCTTTATCTTTTAGAGTAGTAGTTTTTAAAAATAAAAAATGTGAAACGCTATTTCAGCATTAACCTTTATAATTACTGCCACACGTATTGGCTGTTTGCTGTCAAGGTGTGACATTTTCATAGCCCAGATGACGATTCCAATACGTTTAAGGAAATGAATCTGAGTATGTGATTCATCTGAGTGGTTAAAGCTGTAAAAGCAGAGGCTGAAATTCTGAACCCGCTGTATTTCTTTTCCCTTACTGAAGAACCTACTCCATGTAATGACAGAATTTATATCTAGTCAAGGAATAAAAGGGGAAGGGATAGAGGGCATGTGGGAATATGCAGGCTTCAGTCAGTTCAGATGCAGTGGCCCACCCAGCGGTGTGGAATCTAAGTCGTCTTCTCAGATCCTTGTTGGAATGGGCACCTGTCCATGTAACCAAAAGCAGAAGGCCACTGTCACATCCCTTTCTGATCTTGGAAATGGGGCTGCAGACCTTGTTTAAAGAGTGCGTAAGTGAAGTCTTGGAAATTACAACTAAGCGGGGAAAAAAAGCCTGGGATGGAGGCACCAGGCCGATAAAGCTCTTTTGTGATCAGTGTGTTAAAATTCTACTGCTACTCTCTAGATTGTAGTCCTAAATTGATGAGCACTATAATGTAGGGTAATATTTTTAGGATAACAGAATTGCAATGTCACATTCTCTAGTTTTACGTGAAAACTCATATCAAGAATGATACTTTGGGGGAAAAAATTCTCTGCAGGACACCGTACTGGGCTAAAAAATACTTTTTCTTAAAAGTTAGAAAGTAAAATAGTCTCTTTATGACTTTAAAATTCCACATGTATGGATTTCGGCAGGAGTAATTGATATACTTATTGGAAATGAGAAATAAATGTCTGATTTTTTAGAAGGTGGTAAAAAGAAAGCACCAGTTTATTGACTACTACTCCTCATGGTCACAGCTGCGTTTACTTTCCCTCTTTTGCCAAGACTCTACTCTCCTTTTACTCTGTCCCTGTCTCATAGCTGTATGTTAAGCGACTTCCTGTAGACTGTTCTCAGTGTTATTTACTGTAGCTTCCTGCCAGGCAGGAGGGAGGGGAAGAGACTGCATTTAACTCAGGTTAACCCTGCAGGTGCTCTACCTGCTGAGAGCTTGTAGCTGTCAGGCACTGTGCACAGCCAGGCCTGGAGAGAACCCTGGTGAGAAGCAAGTAACATTTCCAAACCTTTACAAGTGCACAGGAGGCAGGAAGAGAAGGGTGTGAAAGAGGGACAGCTTGGCTTGGATCTGTAGTGTTGTTCTCCCCCCTTTTCTTCCTTTGTCTTTAAAAGAGTAGATTCATTCTTCTTCTTTTAAGAAAGCAGATTACTATTTGTATCTATCTGACCTTGAGGAGTATCAAAGGGTGTTCTTTTGAATTTGTGTTTAAATGATTTTGAATCATAATACAGCGTTCCCAATATAATTTCCATGGCCACTCTGAAGAAACTGTGAGTTCTGTGCTCTCATTTGGGCATAAGACTTCAGATTCCTTTGGAACTTTAGAAGTCATCCAGTCCAGCCTCATATCTAATGTGTGATTCTGGTTTATAGAATCTATCCAGACCCTTTACAAGCTTGTTTTTTTTTTTCTTCTCTTTCTACATCCTTCCTGATCTCTCTCCTCACATATATTATAGATAGCTGCATGCCTTATTTTAAATTACTGAGTTCTCCCAGAATTATTTTTGCATGTTGTTTTAAGTATCTGTGACTCCATTGCTAGATTTTATTTCTATGTATTACATCAACAAATCTTATGGAAAATCATGGAGGAAGAGATTGAGAAAAAAGGGGCTCACTAGTAAAATAGGACTTATTCTTCTTAGAGCCTACAGCAGCAAAAGAATGTACTGCATGTGCCTCCAGTATGCAAAGCAAGTTCCTCCTAATGGATCTTATCACAACTTCGTGACAAATTTCTAAAAATATTCCCTGCAGTTAGCAGTGGCAGCACTGGGTTTCTAAGGGAAAGACAAAGCAGGCGCGCTGTGTGGGTTTCAGTTAGGCGAATAATCTGGAGAGTAAAGCAAATTCTTGTGCCTTCTTTATAGGTTTTGAAAGTGACACAGATTCGGAATTTACATTTAAGATGCAGGATTATAATAAAGATGATATGTCGTATCGAAGGATTTCGGCTGTTGAGCCAAAGACTGCGTTACCCTTCAATCGTTTTTTACCCAACAAAAGTAGACAGCCATCCTATGTACCAGCACCTCTGAGAAAGAAAAAGCCAGACAAACATGAGGATAACAGAAGAAGTTGGGCAAGCCCGGTTTATACAGAAGCAGATGGAACATTTTCAAGGTACTGAGATGGGTGTGATTATTGAGTTTCGTATGCTTTTCGAATATGGTAGGATGTTAAATGTGGTAAAAAGAATGGCTCTTAAATGTGTTTCATAGATCATATATTAAGCTTGACTAGTGAGAATATTTTTCATCCCTCTATTTTTAGTTATACATATCTTGAAGCCATTTCTTCTGTTTTAGAATGTCAGCATATGATTTGCTAGGTCTTTTTTTAGATGCATGACTTCAGTTTATTGGTATTTTTCAGCTTACCAGATAATTTGTATTGTTCATGATGAGCCATGCCATGTAATGTTTTTCCTTTTTTGATTGATCTTAGTGGACATGAAAAGAATCCTTTAATTTCTCAGCAAATTAGCAGAACAGAGTGTGGTTTTGCAAATCCAGCTTCCTCTCATGGGGAGGCGTACGGTTTTGAAAGTGGTTCGGACTCTGAGGATGAACGAAGGTTTCCTGACATAGTTTTGGATGACTTAGCCAACCGTAGATTCCAAGTGAAAAAGAGGCCCCAGAATTTCATCTCGAAAATCACCTATCCTAATTCTTGTCCGCAAATATTTTCTCCTGCTGATATGTTTGCCATGGGGCTATATGGACTGACGAGGTCAGAAATACTTGTCCTGGATCTGGCTGTCTATTATGCTGCTGATTTTAATTCAGAAAGTAACACCCCAAATTGTTTGTTATGTGCCTCTTCCTTTTAACACAGCTTCTAATGAAGTATCTTTGGCCCGTGTGTATCTAGCTATCCTTGAGTTAAAATGAGATGCTGTTATAATAACTTTGTCCTAGGAGCTGTGGTGGTGATGAGAATGGAAACTAATTTGCTTTGTTCACAGTGGTGTAAACTTTGTGAACCAGAAAGCATGCCATTTGTGTTCTGTGTCACAAATGCTCATACAGTGTCTTAACCGGTTGGATGTTTTGAACAGTAATCAGAGGAGGATTTGGGGCACCAATGTGGAGAACTGGCCAACTGTACAAGGAACTTCAAAGTCCTCTTGTTATTTGGAAGAGGAAAAAGCAAAGACAAGAAGCATACCCAACATTGTAAAGGATGATCTTTATGTGCGCAAGCTCAGTCCAGTCATGCCAAACCCAGGGAATGCTTTTGATCAGTTTCTTCCCAAATGTTGGACCCCAGAAGATGTGAACTGGAAAAGAATAAAAAGGGAAACTTATAAGCCATGGTATAAAGAATTTCAGGGATTCAGGTTTGTCGTTGTGCATGTTTCTGTCACACCAGTGTTCATTCAGTACCCCAGCTGGGGTTCTATGTGCATGTTTTTTATAATAATAAGAGAGACAGAGAAAGTCTAATTAGTTCTCTAGTATCTGCGGAACCTATATAATGGAAATGAATTTCTGTTTAAATTTAAACCTGAGGATCTAGATCTTAAAAAGCCCTGTTCTATACATAGTCATAGCACGGCATTATTTTTAGTAGTTCTGTTTTTCTCCAATTCTTTGTCTCATTCCCTCTTCCCTTCTTTTCTTCATGTCACTCACAGTAGAAGGAATTCAGACTCTGAGGATGAGGACTCAGGTTCTGACAGAAGCGCCACCGTTTTTAGTAGAGCACAAAAAGCAGAGCATAGGCTAGACGGCAACTGCCAAAGACCTTCACTCTTGCTGGAATTAGCTACCAAACGGGCTGTAAAATCACCGGACTCCCATGCAGCCAGGAGAAGCAGTAGTGCTTCGGATGAGCCCAGGTGCCCCTGTCTGCATGAGCCTGCCTGCTGCGGGTCTGGCCTCAGACAACCCTCTGCCTGCTTCTGCTGCTCCATTAGCCTGGGACCTGATTGCACTGAATCAGGAAACCTGACTCACTTAGTGGACTTAGTACAAAAGCGTAATGTATAACACGCTGCTTTCTGTGCAACTACATCAGCTTGGAAGTCTGTAGGATTCAACATTCTTCTTTAGCACAATAATGTGTGAGACAGGATATATTTACATGTGGCAGTTCTTTTGAAAAGCCGGTTCAAAAAGGCTTGTTAGAAAGTTTACCTAATTTCACGGTTTTGTTGTGTGTGGAGATGTGGAAAAAGGAAATAACTTTCAGGTGGAGACTGGGAAGGGCAAGTCTAGGGAAAATGCAAAGGGAAGATTCCTTGAGCTCTTTTATAAAACTTCAGAGCAATTTATTTTCCCTTTTTCCTGCTGATTACATATACCTATTGCATAAAGTGCATGATGCACAACTTGTGAAACTTTCAAAGATTATTCCTTCTTCTTCAGGGGACACTTAGGCCACTGTGGCAAATGGAATGAGAAAGGGATACCAGGGGCCAGGCGGGGTGGCTCACGCCTGTAATCCCAGCACTTTGGGAGGCCAGGGCAGGTGGATCACTTGAGGTCAGGAGTTTGAGACCAGCTTGGCTAAAATGGTGAAACCTTATCTCTACTAAATATACAAAAATTAGCCAGGCATGATAGGGGGCCCCTGTAATCCCAGCTACTCGGAAGGCTGAGGGAGATGAATTGCTTGAACCCAGGAGGCGGAGGTTGCAGTGAGCAGAGATGGCGCCACTGCACTCAGCCTGGGCGACAGAGTGAGACTCTGTCTCAGAACAAACAAACAAACAAACAAACAAAAAACAGGGTACCAGGGAGTGGCTTTTGTGTGTGCCTGGGAGGGGTACCTAGTCCATGCTCCAGCCCCATCCGTGGCCTCCATGGTGCCCAACTTTCCTGAGAAGTATGCTCTGCTCTTATTTCTTTAGGGATTATCCAGGAAAGTCATGGGTGTTGGATTAAATGCTAGTCTGTTTTCCTAGCAAGAGTCCCCACAATGGTCCTCTAAAATGATTTACCCTCAGTAACTGGCTAGTTGGTCTGCTAATCACCTTTGGCTAGTCGATCTGCTAATTACCTTTTCTCCCTAAGCTTAATAAGATTCTCTTTCCTTTTTCCTCTCTGTGCATCAGTCAGTTTTTACTGCTTCAGGCCCTCCAAACATACTCTGATGACATCTTGTCTTCTGAAACACATACCAAAATTGATCCCACTTCTGGCCCAAGGCTCATAACCCGCAGGAAGAATCTCTCTTATGCACCAGGCTATAGAAGAGATGACCTCGAGATGGCAGCCCTGGATCCTGACTTAGAGAATGATGATTTCTTTGTCAGAAAGACTGGGGCTTTCCATGCAAATCCATATGTTCTCCGAGCTTTTGAAGACTTTAGAAAGTTCTCTGAGCAAGATGATTCTGTAGAGCGAGATATAATTTTACAGTGTAGAGAAGGTGAACTTGTACTTCCGGATTTGGAAAAAGATGATATGATTGTTCGCCGAATTCCAGCACAGAAGAAAGAAGTGCCGCTGTCTGGGGCCCCAGATAGATACCACCCAGTCCCTTTTCCCGAACCCTGGACTCTTCCTCCAGAAATTCAAGCAAAATTTCTCTGTGTACTTGAAAGGACATGCCCATCCAAAGAAAAAAGTAATAGCTGTAGAATATTAGTTCCTTCATATCGGCAGAAGAAAGATGACATGCTGACACGTAAGATTCAGTCCTGGAAACTGGGAACTACCGTGCCTCCCATCAGTTTCACCCCTGGCCCCTGCAGTGAGGCTGACTTGAAGAGATGGGAGGCCATCCGGGAGGCCAGCAGACTTAGGCACAAGAAAAGGCTGATGGTGGAGAGGTCAGAGTGTGTTTCTGCAAGGATTTTGCTTGTAATGGATGGTCTTGTGTAACTTTTCTCATGCGAGAAAGCAGCTCATCGTGTTGCTCAACTCTGCATGTCGCGTGCCATTTTGAAGCATCCCGTAAAATTTAATTTGCTTTGAAAAACCCTCAGTCGTTTTGTACAAAAAGTGCAATTCCATATTTGCATATCTCTAAATAACTTATTTAGGCCTGTTTAAGACTGTATATACATAAACCTTGCCTTTGACTTAAGCAGTACTGTGGTACTATCCACCAATATGAAGTTTCTGGACTTCTCATGTTCAGGCATTTTTGTAACAGTCTGGTTATAGTTTGGTTTTATGTGTTGCTCACATTTTAGAGTGTCTGATTTTTTTGGGGGGGTGAAATTTTCCCTTAAAATATGGCATTGCAAATTTCATTTAACTTAATTTTTGGTTTTGGCCTAGGTTTCTTGGACTATCATTTGTAACTTATTTTTATTTATGAAGTTCAGAGTAAACGTTGATGTTAAAATGCATGAATGGTATTTGTTGTCTGCTGAATTTTATGTGTATGTAATCATGGCCATTTTGATAGTTTGTATTATGCAACTTGCCTTTTTGATGAATGTTCAGTTTGTGGAACTTAGAGATGGACAAATCTGATTAGGTTGAATAAAATTAGAGGATCCAAATCTAACTTAACAGTTCCTGACAATGGGAAGCCTTTTCATATGGATTTGTTAGCTCAGAGTAAATTGAGGAAATTCTTCATTTTGCTTAATCTGAATTTCCTGAGATAGGAAATTGATGAGAACTTGAGACATGATCAAGAATGTGATGGAAGAAGTGACCTTTTGAGATTTGTCCGTCTCCAGTTAGATTCTTAAGTGGAAGACATTGAACGTTTAGAAACTAATATGACTGGGAAAAATGACTTTTTAATTTTTGGTTTTCTGGTTTCTTAGACTCTTTCAAAAGATTTATGGTGAGAATGGGTAAGTTGTGTGGTTCACAGTAAAAAATCTGTGCGTGTTGTTTGTTCTTTGTATAACTTACTGTATTTCTGGCATGGCATGTCACTAAATGGGGTTGTTGTGTGCTGTGCATGATATTTTTTAAGTGGGAAATGTTTATCTTGCAACCTAATGGTAATATTTCTGTGTCTTGGTGCCCAGTGCAAGATAAAATTATTTGTTTTATTAAAAATTTAAACTTCAGCTTCATCCCTTCTTTTTTCCTTTTTAAAAATTTAATGAGTTGATTAAAAGTCACAAAAGCACTTGCCTAAGATTAGGTATATGTATTTTGGTATTTGGTTGCTACATAGACTAAAATTCTGATTTATGGATGCTAAAGCCCAAATTACTACATTTTAGAAAATCTGTGATGGAAAAAGAATATTAGCATTTACTTCAAGTTTAGAATACACCCAGTTGACATTATCCTATAATCGGCCAACTGGGAGCTTCGTTAGTAGGGATGCATTAAACTTCCCTAGGTGGTATTTGGAAGTATTATATTTTCAAGATTCCTGATTAGGAAAAAAAAGTTATAACATGGCTATATTTATAGTGCAAAATAGACCTTCAAAAACTGCAAAAATATTTTTAATTTCTAATATCACTGTTGCAAAAACTACATTTTTTTTTTTTTTTTTTTTTGAGATGGAGTCTCGCTCTGTCGCCCAGGCTGGAGTGAAGTGGCGCAATCTTGGCTCACAGCAACTTCCACCTCCCAGGTTCAAGCAATTCTCCTGTCTCAGCCTCCTGAGTAGCTGGGACTACAGTTGCATGCCACCACACTCTGCTAATTTTTGTATTTTTAGTAGAGACGGGGTTTCACCAGATTGGTCCGGCTGGTCTCAAACTCCTGACCTCAGGTGGTCCATCCACCTCAGCCTCCCAAAGTGCTGGGATTACAGGCAAAAACTACATTTACAGTAAATCATTTATTCATTCTTAGTACAAAATCACAAGGTGGCTATATCTTAATATTTTCCACCAAACTTTCTGTAACTTTGTGAATCTAAGGGCTAATAGTGTTTGAGCAAGAGGAAGAGAGTTAAAGGATGACAGATGTTTTAATCTGCTCAAGCCTCAGTAGCTAAGTATCTTCCCTTATGAGGATTTACTTCATCTATAAGAATCTCTAGTTTTGATAGCTTTTTATAACTTTGATAATTCAGAAATGTTGGAAGCTACTAAATGTAAAGCAGTATAACCATTCTAGATGCCAAAGGTGTAACTGAGCCACAGGCAACAAATTGCAAGTACTTGTTAGCCACTGATTTTAAAAACCAGGGTCCCTGCATGCTTTCCGTGTGCCATGCAAAGGCACATTATCCGCTTTCCAGCTCATCTGCATGATGCTTAAACATTTGCTACTCTCAAGTCATAGGAAAGCTGTTTTAACTTGATTAAAAATCTCTTTGCAGCTTTAAGCATGTTGAATTGTAACTTTCAGAAAAATTTTCATTTGTAAATTAAATATAACTTTATAATGTAAGCAGCTCTCAGAAATAGTTGCTTTTCTTAAAGGAAATAAAAGTACCCAGAGTACAAGTATGTGGTGGAAATGTCAACATGTACAACCATTTCAGTGGCTGGATGTGTTCCCTGTAGTGAGGGGTAAATTATATGACTGAGTTAGAGAAGAAGACAGAAACCTAAAACCAAAGCTTGAAAAGCTAAAGATTTTTCTGGATTAGAGCTAACAGCAGCAAATGTTTTCTATCCCAAGATAGTTGTTTCGGATAGTACAATATTTGTTTTAAAGGCTGTTGTGCATGCAGTTCAATGCCAAGGTAACTACACAAATAAAGCAAGATTGTCTGTAAATTGAGACTGAATAATATATGACATGTCAAACAGTGGGAAGTATTATAATATGAATGTGTCCTCAGAAAATTCAAGTGTGTTTTGGACCACTTGAAGTCAAATAAGTCAAATTTATAACAAAGGATTTCTCTCTAGTCTGTCAGTTACCACTACTTTTTCTTTTTCTTTCTTTTTTTCTTTCTCTTTTTTTTTTTTTTTTTTAAGAGATGGAGTCTTGCTATGTTGCCCAGGCTGGTCTTGAGCTCCTGGGCCGAAGCATTCCTCCTGCCTTGGCCTCCCAAAGTGTTAGGATTACAGATGTGAGCCATCATGCCCTGCCTACCGGTGCTTTTCTTAAGTAGATCTGCTGCAGTGAAAAGAAAATAGAAATTTAAATTGGATTAAGTGTAGGCTTTTAATCTAGAACTTGTTTCATATTTATGCTGGGTGATATTTCTCTGAACATAATGTACGTTGTCAAGCTTGGCATACTTACCTGGAAAAGCATTATTGCTCAACATGCTGTCATTGAAAAATAACTGCCTATAACATGAATGCTTTCTTTTTTGTAAGGACTGGGTTAAAGAGAAATGTGCAGTATCTTTTGAAGTCTGAGACTGTTAATTTCTGGCTTGCTCTTTGTTTGGCGTTTAACACCTGTCAGTTTGTCTGTTTATTTTTAAGACGCTTTGTATGTGGTAGTCGTTTCTTCTATGTGCTTTCGTCTTGCATGGATTTATGTCTGTATGGTTTCATGAAACTTGAAAATTTGGTCATGTGTTTTGGCAGAAGCAATTTATGACAAATTTTTTTGTAAGAATATATAGAAATAATCTTGTATGTGATTAAGCTGTTGAATCTGTTGCCAGTATTAATAGGAAATGAACACTGATTTCACATGAAGTTGTAATAAAAGACAATTAAGTCACCCACATTTCACTTATGGGTTTGGCCAAAAGATTCTGTAGAATTATAAAGGCTTATGACAGCAAAAAAGAAAGGGAAAAAAAGCCAATTTCGGTTATTTCTAGGGATTTCCCTCCACCCCCAGGAGACATTTGGCAATGTCTGGAGGCATTTTTTATTGTCTCATTGGGTGGGTGGGGGTGTGTGTGCTACTGGCAACTAGTGCCTTCATAGCCAGAGATACTGCTAAATGTCCTACAGTACACAGGAGTGCCCTACAACAAATAGTTTTCTGGCCCCAAAATGTCAGCAGTGGTGCTACTGAGGAACCCTCATTGAGACTATAAATCTATAAATGAAAAATCTACATCACATTGCCTTTTTATTATAGTGTATGGTAATTCCAAAGCCTCTTGCCCAAGTTTTAGCATTGATTGCTCTTCAGAGAATTCCTATAGTACCTGATGGAAATATACTTAGAGGTACATAAATCAGTATGTTCCTATCTCCCTCTGAAAGTTGGGGAGCCTTAACCCTAGTATCATGGAATTTCTGTTTGCCGTATAAGGCTATCCATGATTTTATATTTGAGAAAATTTGCCACATGCTGGTTCTTTTCGATCCTTACTCCTTAGATAGTCACCTATAAAGTTCCTGAAAGTGAGTTCTAAAAGGAAATGCCTTAAAACTAGCCAAAAAGTGACAGGAGCATAGTAGGCAATCTGCATAGTGGGAGAAGAGAGTAAGACTTTAGCAACCTTGTTTTATGATTGACACCTTCTTCCTTAAAGTTCCTCTTTTTCCTTCTAAATGTTATTTTTAAAAAATTCTATTCAACAGAAAGGCAAGATGCTAGATCTGTATTTTTTGGAAAAAATCCAGTTGCAGTTCTAAATTGGAGCCTTTCCAAATAAGGAAATACAAATGAAGCAGGACTTGTAAGAGACATACGATGTGATTTGCCAGCTAATCATCCTTCATTCAACACAACATACTAGAGCTGTGCAATCCTTCATAGTTTTCCCAAACAATTTTCCTGATGCTATCTTTGGTACTTATCTCAAATCTGTGAGGCCGACAGATAGGGATGTGGAGATAGAGAAACAAATATTGCCGCTTTCCCAAGGACATGTGGCTTGTGAGTGGTAGAACCAGACTAGGGCTTCGCCTCTGAGATAATTCACGTAGACTGCTTGGCGAGGTTGCTGGCACACAGTAAGCACTCAGAAGCTGAATATTATGCCATTAATGCTGATAAGGGAGGGAAGAATTCTTTGTGATCTGGCTGAGAGACTCCTTCCTCTACTACAAAAGTTCTGGATTTTATCACTGTGGTCCGGGGTGACCTCTCTGATTTGAAGCAGCTTGGAGAGTTAGCTTTTGGGAGATCCCAAACAATCATGTTTGCTTTAATGAGAATTAGTATATGGCCCAGACGGTTTTAAAAATGCTACCCACACAGCCAAATCCAGTTCTCATAACAATCCCTTCCTCACTTAGCAGGTGAGAAATGGGGGCTCGGAAGTGATCTGATGTGTGTTAGGGTGGGGTGAAAACTGGCACCATGGCTGGGCCTGCAGCCCTCCCTTCCTGGCTTGTTGCAGTGCCTGGCTCCAGCTGCTGTACAGTGTGTGCAGGCTTGATGTGGGTAACTTTTTGTACCCTAGGGAGTGAACTGTGCTCATGTTCCTGCCTTACACAGGGACTTGTCTACTCCAGAGTGTATTTGGTTCACTTTGTTCACATTAAGGACCACCTGTGTGCCAGGCTGTGCTCCGTGTTGGGGGCACCCAGGAGGAGGATGCAGCCTCTGTCTTGAGAAGCACATTTCATGGGAAGACACCTTAGCATTGCATGGTGTAGGAGGATTAGGGCCAAAGGAGAGCACCCCTGGGAGATGCTGGGCTTTCTAGCCTTCCTCCCATCAAAAGATTATTAAAATATTAGCATCCTTTTTTGTTTTTGTTCTGGAGTTTATGTAATCTCATGTGTTGAGTGTCTAGATACCCCTCATACCTGGTTCTTGAAAAATTTTTCCTGCCTCTTCTTAGTGAGTCTGTCATAGTATTAGTTCAAATAGCCTCATTCTTCATAGTATGACTTACGTGAATCTATATTCTCAAATTCACACAAATCAGCTTTATAAGTAGTCATACCTAGTTAGATATATTACATTAATAGATCCATCTATATTCATATATGTCCTCATATATTCTCTCAATATAATTTATTCCTTAATAGTCCTTAATAAATCCTATAAAACTTTCTTCATAGAACTGTGGATAGCCATAATAATCTTACAAAAAGAATTAGAAACATTTTAAGTATAGCAAATTTTGCTGGATTAAATGTGAGAAAACCTACCTCATTCTTACCGTAGACATTGAATGAGTATATCCTGCCTGCCTTGTGCTGCTAATATGTTTTCCTCCTAAGCAACACGTGACTTGTGAGGAAGAGAATCCAAACATGCACATGCACACACAGACACACATGCACTGTAACAGACATAAGGCTGAGGGTTCAGTACTATGAAAAAGGTATAGCTGAAGCAGTAGAGGGATTGAGAGGAGGGACAGAGCAGCTTTGATATGGATGAGCTGGGAAGACTTCATCAAAGTGCTGAATATTATCTAGATCATTAATTTAACACATTTATCGGGCACCTACTGCAGGCTGGGCTCCCCTTCAGGTACAGGTGATGTACCAGCAAACAAATCAGAAAATTCCTGCTTTATAATCTTACAGGGCAAGGCAAGTGATAGGTAAATAAATGTACATGATGGTGAGAAATGCTTTGAAGGAGAAAGGACTAGGGTGGGTCAGGGGAGAGGGGCATTTATTATTTCTGGTAAGGTGGTCAGAGAAGGAAACACAGAGGGCACATTTAAGCAGATGCCTGGAAGTGAGAGAGAAGCTATGTGGATATCTGGGTGAAGAGCATTCCAGGCAGATTGAATAGTAGGGGGAAAAGCAGGAGGTGTGAGCAGGGCAGGGAAGCCAGTTGGCTGGAGCAGAGGGAGTGGGGGCATGGTACTGATGAGCACAGAGAAGGAGGTAGGAACCAGGGATGGCGGACCTCTTAGATTTTGGAAGAACCTGTCTTTAACTCTAATGAAATGGGAAGAAAGTAGTGGGTGCTGAGTAGAGGTATACCATGATCTGAGTGCAGTCTGAAAGGAACTCTCTGGCTGCTGTTGGGTAGGAAGGGGTGGAAGCAGGGAGACTGTTGTAATCTAGGTGGGTGATGTGATGTGATTATTATAATAATTGTAATAATCTGGGTAGGAGATGATGTGATAATTGTTATAATCCAGGTAGCAGATGTGATTACTGTGATAATTGTGATCATCCAGGTAGGAGTCACTTGGATCAGGGTGTAATGGTGCAGGTGGTAAGAAGTGGTTATGTTCTAGATATATTTAGAAGGCAGAGGGACAGGATTTACTGACGGGACCAGTTATGGTATATGAGAGAAAGAGAAGAATCTGGGATGGCTCCAAGATGTGTGACCCAATGTTGTGAAGGATAGAGGTGACCTTTACTGATATAAGGAGAGTGAGAGCTGAGCAGGTTGTGAAGAGGACAATCAGTTTTTTATCTATGACAAACTTGAGACGCCTATTAGACTTCCAAGTGGAGAATGAACAGGAAGTTGGAAATACCTGTCCAGGGGTCCTGAGGTATGAATGGCATTTAAGAAGTTATGTATACTGGTAAAGGGCTTTTGAATCAGAGGAAATAGTTTAGGAAAGATGTTTGTTGAAACTGGAGGTTGGGTATTAATTTAAGAAGCCATTTTGGAAGTCTAGGTGAGTTGACTGTACTCTGATCTAGGGTGTTGGCAATAGAGATGGAAAGAAAGAGACACTGAATGAAAGGGCTTGATAACTAATGGAAAGTGGGGAGAAGGGAGAAACAAAGGTGAAAAGTGGTTGTTAGGTTTCAGATGTGGATGATTGGAGGGCAGGTAGCAACATTAGTAACCACAAGAGGAAAAGCAGGTTTGGGGACAAGATTGAGTTTGGTCACATCAACAATAACCATGCATTTAGTGAGTTACAGTTTACAAAATCCCTTCTAGATATTATTTTAATCTGTCCTTTGGCAATTGAAGTGCCTAGGGGATATCCATGCAGAAAGATTTATTCAAGAAGCAAGTGGAAATGAGTCAAAGGACGGACTGGTTCCTTAATTATGGCACTGGGAATAGTTTAGAAATTACAATTCCATGAGCTAGCTAAGCTAGGAATTCCTGAACTAGCTAAGAGCAAACATGCTTTAAAAGAAATAATGATGGCAACATCTTGGAAGGCAAAATTTAGATGCCCAGGCAAGAGGTGTACAGTTACTTAAAGTCAGGAGAGCAGTATAAAAGGTCAGTAGGAAAGAGCTTCAAAGGCTCTTGCTCTCATTCCTACTTCTCCTCAGTGTTTAGATCTGACCTCTCCCTTTCCTTGAGACCACCCTTAATCTCTCTTTCCCCTCTGGTATAGTTTACCTGGCTCTTTTATGTGCATGTAGAGAGCACACATGTGCCTGTGCCCAACACCCCACTCTGTTCATTGGTTTCTGTTGTGGATTGAGCTCTTCCAAAGCTTAACCTCAGTCCATCCTTGTGTTACAAGTTGAAAGCATGCAAGCTGCCCTAATAAAAGAAGAGGGTTATAGAGGTAGTATAAAGGACTATTAGAAACTACCTGTGGTGCGTTGAGAACAAGTCTAGTGCAGTGGTAGGGCGGATCTTATAGGATCTTTTAGAATCAACAGCACATTTATTCATGGTATTGAACTTGAGAAAAATATCAGGTAAACATTAAATTATTAATCAGTGCCCAGAAAAGGCAGCCAAACCTCAACAGATTATCTTTGAAGGAGATAGAAAATAAAGAGAGATAATTCTAGTGACTATTTTTTCCTAAAGTAATCCTTTCATGCATTGACCTCTTTAAATATGAACCTTGGGTTTTTGTTTGTTTGCTTGTTTTTTGTTTTTTTGTTTGTTTGTTTTTTTTGAGACTTGTATAGGGCTAATCTAGCCATTTTGTGAAAAAATTCACACTCGAGTGCTCTTGTTTCTGAGTTTTGGAAAAACACCATTTATCTCTGTAGTGCTACTTCTGTGACACTATCACTGAAGCGTCTAGGTAGAAATTTAGGTGGAATTTCCAAATTTAACTCCAACCTCAGTTTAACCCCTAAGTCTGGTCATGTGAACTTCCGTAGTAACCATGAGTCTTTTTGTTGTAGGAGTAAGTCCATGAGTGATGTCAGCGCAGAAGATGTTCAAAACTTGCGTCAGCTGCGTTACGAGGAGATGCAGAAAATAAAATCACAATTAAAAGAACAAGATCAGAAATGGCAGGATGTGAGTATTTTGGGGATTGGAGGGGAGAGAGTGTATTTGTCTAACTTTTCTTTGCTTCTCTTAAAGTCAATATACTCAAGACCATTTTCCTTGCTATTACAGAATTCAGTTCTGTATAAAATGTGACCAACTTTCTTTACAAAGATTTTTAAACCTTTTTTTTTCTATTATTATTGCATATTTTAAAGGCCATTGTGAAAAATATACCTGGATGTTTATTTTCTAACATTCTCTGAGTTCTCAAAAATGTGAGTTGCTTCCTTGCAGTATAGTGAACTTACTTACTTGTTTTGGTGGTTGAATTTGGGATATGCACATTAACTATACTCTAATGGGAAAGACCTGGCCAAAATTTAGGGAGAGAAGAGGAACAGGGTTCTGGCAGAGACCTTGGCATCAGTAAGGAAAGATGAAAAGGGTTAGTAATTAAGAGTTAATTAAGGAGAATTGGGGAGAAATAAGTAATATAACTCAGAGCAATATTTTGGCTGAAGAAGTCAATAATATGAACCAAAATGAAATGTTTTTGCAGAGTTGACATATATCCAGGTGTTTACATAGATATAGACTTACTCTTTAGTTTTGATCCTGAAGAAAAAAGCTTGACCATTTTTTTTAATAGAGTAATTGTCATAAACTGAAGAAATGCAAAGAAATACAGTAGACAAACTATCAGAGCAAACCCAAAGGAATTTGAGGACAACTTTATGGTAAGAGTTGAGCAAAAGCATGAGCAAAGGAGTCAGAGTAAATCTTAATTTTCAAAGGAATTAATAGTCTCTGAAATGAAGAAACCCCTGCTCTGGCTACCCTTCTAAATTCCAGTGCCTCTTTTAATTGGGAACTCAATTTAATTGTCAAGAAACAGTAATTCAATATCACTTTGCCAAAATACATGGTTAATTTTCTGGTGTGAAAGTAAGTATTACGGGCTTATCTATTAGGTTAAATCAGATAAAAATTCATGCCAGTTATGCTATAGGACTAAATGCGCATTGCTTTTGTTCTTTCTGCAAGGAGTTCATATTGGTCTCAGGCTGTTTTAAAGCAGGAGTGGCTCTGTGGGCTTGCAAGGGGTATAAATCAAACGTACTTTGCATGCCCTGGGGGTGAAATTCGGTTTTGTCTGAGACCTTGAATGTGCTTCTGTTTGGACTGGAATGCCACTAACAGTTCTTAGCAGTTCTCTATTTTGGAGACATGGAAAACTTTATACCTTGTAAAATGTCTTAACCCCCTGGGTGTCAGAACCAGCCTAGGTTTCTGGGGGGGATTGAAAAGCTGAATTAGGTTGATTGTCCCTGGGGTCACCCAGCAAGGTTAGGCTTAACGTTCCTGGGGATATGGGGGACAGGTGTTGGTTTGTTCCTGCCACGTGTTCCTTATTGCGCTGACCTAGGTGGACTTAACCCTTCTGAAATTGCATACTCAAGTCTCACCTTCCCAGTTAAAGCCTTTCCAAAGCCTTCCCTTCCGGAGGTGGAACCGGACCCATGGTCTTCTTAGGACCCCACTGTCTCATGCAATCCTGTCACACTTGTTACTGAACTTTTGTTTATATGTCTGTCTCTCCCCTGTAGACTGAGAGTTTCTTGAGGGGAACAGTGCCCTATGCATGTGTGTATTAATAGTTCCTACACTTGGGCCTGCCTCAAAGTAGGGATTGAACTCTGTTTGTGAAATGAAAGAGACTATGCATCTGCGCGTAACCATCACAATCGTGTTTCTGTTTTGGCCTTACCAGTGAAACATGTTTCGCAGAACAGCCAGGTTTTTGGAGTGAGATGAAAACGAACTGGAAACAGTTCCTGATCTATCTAACTGTCACCTAATTACAAGCATTTAGCATTCTTTATGAAGTGTGCAATGAGGCAGATACTTTCTGGGAAAACAAAAATGGGGTCTATCTTATTAGGTCAGGTTTTTGAGACAGACACATGAGATAAAGGCTTGGTACAGAAACGCTGGCTATAAAAAGCAAAATTAGGGCACCTTGGCATCCAGTTGGAGTGAATAGTTTCAGTGATGTAATAAGATACTCTGGCACATTCTGTCTGCTAGAAAGGGTGTATAGAAATTCAGGTGTGCCCCTGCTGATGTGATTTTTCTGTCAGGACCTTGCAAAATGGAAAGATCGTCGAAAAAGTTACACTTCAGATCTGCAGAAGAAAAAAGAAGAGAGAGAAGAAATTGAAAAGCAGGCACTTGAGAAGTCTAAGAGAAGCTCTAAGACGTTTAAGGAAATGCTGCAGGACAGGTAATAATGCTGAATGCACCTCGGTTGTAACAGGGTTGGAGATGCCAGTGTTATAAATAGATATTTTATGTAAGTGTAGTGTGACATAGGTGTCCACCAATATTCAACTTTAGTCAAATATGCAAAGAAACGTTTAAGATTTTGGTCTGCGGTGAAAAAACAAAGCATTGTTGAAATAGTGACTTAGAGTAATAGTAACAAAATAAATGAGGACTTAAAATAGGTGTTCATTATTTCTTCTTACATTGTGCATTCACATGCAGAATTGGATGGTGTTGGCTGTGTCTGATGCAGGAAATACACTGCTTTTTACTCTTAAGTGAATTAAGGAATGAGATGGTCCAATAAAATCAGCTCACTCTTTTAACTAAATTGTGTAAAATATAACGAAGTTCTTTTTCATGTTTAATGGTGCAATTCATTATATTTTAAAGAAAGTTTTTATGAACATAAATGTGTGTGTTTTACTTACTCTTTGCATTGCATCTTAACAGTATAAAGGTCAAATTTAAACTTTAATGTAAAGCATTCATTACTGTGTGAAACATCAGGATATTTACAGATCAAGGAGAAGGAAAATACGCTTTTAGAATAATGTCCAAAAGGAAATATGCTGTCAGGTGAAATGAAACAAAGCCACTTTCTGCCCTAAAAGCCAAAGATAAGCAGTTTCATTCACTTAAATGCAATTCAGTTATTTTGGGAGGTAGGTATTCCTTTCTAGATGTGAGAGATGAGGGTGTTTTATGAACCTTTCTATAAATATGAATGGTGACTTTTAATCCCTGATAAATGTTCATGCAAGTTCTGTCAAGCTATGTGAAATCATACACCAGTTTGATCTCCACAAAAGCCTGAGTCTTTTGTAATCTTTTATTTTTACTAAATTACTGTAAATTTTTGCAGGAAGAAAATCCTCACAAGACTGTCAATTAATCCACGACTTTGGAAGGTTCAAATTGGTTGTCAATCATGATATTTATAGTGTTTTAATTTTAAAAGTTATAAGCTTGTGGATAAAATTTTGTGAATAATCCTTTATTAAAATTTCCTTGTTTCATTAAAATCTCTTTACAATTAATAATATCCCAGTGAAGTATTTGAGAACCATTTTAATTAAAGAAGTCAAGTTATTATTCTTTCTTAGTTGGGACATTAAAGATAATTTTATACATCTTGCTGGGCATGGTGGCTCATGCCTGTAATCCCAGCACTTTGGGAGGCCAAGGTGGGCAGATCACAAGGTCAGGAGTTCGAGATCAGCTTGGCCAATATGTTGAAACCTCATCTCTACTAAAAATTAAAAGAAAAATTAGCTGGGTGTGGTGGCGCATGCCCGTAATCCCAGCTACTCGGGAGGCTGAGTCAGGAGAATTGCTTGAATGCGGGAGGCGGAGGTTGCAGGTGAGCTGAGATCGTGCCACTGCACTCCAGCCTGGACGACAGAGCGAGATTCGGTCTCAAAAAAAAAAAAAAAAAGATAATTGTATACATCTTTATGCTCTGTAAGTGTTGTATTGATTCTTGTGTGAAGTTAGCATCATTTTATTCCCAGTCCGTTTCATGCGTTGATTACTCTCTCACCACCTCTGTGTGTCAAATGTGTGTCTTTGTGGTGATGGTGCATTTCTCTCCGCTAAGGGAATCCCAAAATCAAAAGTCTACAGTTCCGTCAAGAAGGAGAATGTATTCTTTTGATGATGTGCTGGAGGAAGGAAAGCGACCCCCTACAATGACTGTGTCAGAAGCAAGTTACCAGAGTGAGAGAGTAGAAGAGAAGGGAGCAACTTATCCTTCAGAAATTCCCAAAGAAGATTCTACCACTTTTGCAAAAAGAGAGGACCGTGTAACAACTGAAATTCAGCTTCCTTCTCAAAGTCCTGTGGAAGAACAAAGCCCAGCCTCTTTGTCTTCTCTGCGTTCACGGAGCACACAAATGGAATCAACTCGTGTTTCAGCTTCTCTCCCCAGAAGTTACCGGAAAACTGATACAGTCAGGTTAACATCTGTGGTCACACCAAGACCCTTTGGCTCTCAGACAAGGGGAATCTCATCACTCCCCAGATCTTACACGGTAAAAAATGTTCTCGGTTCATTTAGTCTGTTCTGAAGAGCAAAATGTTGGTGAACTTGTGCAGAGGTTGGGGTTACATCAACTTGATGTGTAAACTGTACATAACATATATAAGGACATTTTATTTTATGCCAGTTTAGATGCAATGGAAACTTAATGCTTAAGATATATCAATGATACAGAATTTATTAAACTTTAAATTCTGTGAAAGTAGGGCTGATACATTTTAAAGAATGAATAAGATATATTCTAAGGCAGAGTATTATTTTATAATGTCTTTTTTTTAGATGTACCTTTTGTAAAGTTTTAGGTTGAAAAATATGAAGTTGTCAGTATGATTGTTCTTCTTGACCTATAAAACAGCAATTCATATGGTTTAGCCTAGAGATTTTCAGGTGCTTATGTACACATTTCTGCTTTTTTCAGATTTCTCACTTTATCAGTTTGAATGTAATTATTAGAATATATCTTACGTTTATATATATGTGTTTCTACTAGTGTCAGGATTTTGAAGGGGTTAGAATATTGCAGCATTTTTTCTGAGAATGAAGTGGTACCATATCCGACAATGAGTGTGTTAATCTGAATTATGTGAAAGGAAGCAACACAGTCCTAAGATTAATGTTCAAATTCTTTTTAGCTCTGCTAATGTACAATCCTAAACTCTAAAAGGGTATAAAAAATTGGATATTTGGGGTGAGAGAAGCTTACCTAAGCTAATTGGGAAACTCCTGATCATTATATAAAGGAAAATGTAGACATATTTGACATTATAAGAATTTCATGGCAGACCCCCTTAATGTAGTCAAAAGACAATATATAGACTCAGAAAAATATTATCAAAATGCATTTTAGGGTTAATATCTCTAAGACAGAAAATGTTTCTACAAATTGGTAAGCAAATACACTAGCAAAATGAATATAGAAAAGTAGTGGCCAATTCAAGGGAGAGGGGATTCAAATGTCTGGTAACAAAGCACAAAGAAGTATGTTCAGCTTCCCTGGAGCAAGAATGAGGCATATAACTTTTTACCCATCAGAGTGAAATAGACTTAAAAACATCGAAAATATCTAGTGTTGGCAAGGATGCTGAGAAACAGATGTTCCTCATACATTACTTCGGCAGTGTGTTGCTACAATTATTTTTAGAAACTATATATATATATATATATATATATATATATATAGTTTCTAAAAATTATATATATATAATAAAATATATATATATATATATAAAACTTTTGCTCCAGCAAGCCTACTTTTGGAAATCTGTGCTATAAAAATAAAAGTTCCAATTATAAAGAGTTATAGATATTTGTTGCAGTAGTTTTGGAAGTGACAGAACATTTCAAACAACTTTAAATGCACATCAAATGAATAAATTGTTGATGTCCATACTATGGAACATTCAGCAAGTAAAGGGACTGGTTTAGAGTTCTATCTGTTGACCTGGAGTGATCAATAGATAGAACACCAAGACCTTTTGGCTCTCAGTTAAGGGGAATCTCATCACTCCCCAGATCTTACATGGTAAAACATGTTCTCAGTTCATTTAGTCTGTTCTGAAAAGCAAAATGTTGGTGAACTTGTTTAGAGGTTAGAGTTACACCATCTTGATATGTAAACTGTACATAACACATGTATATATGGCAATTTCATTTTACGCCAGTTTAGATTCAGTGGAAATTTAATGCTTAAGATGTTTGCTTGGAGTAAACAAGCAAAGCAAATTTCGGAAGTTTGTATGTGATATGAATGCTTTTGCTAAAACAATTTTCCCTCACTACGTGTTTATCTGTTGGTGTGAAAGAACTCAGCCCAAGCTTTTAGCAATAGTTATGTTACTGTGGGAGGTATGTTATTTTAGTTTTAAAATATTAATTTAATAAACAACTTTTAAAAACAGAAATAAAGGTAACAGAATATCAAGTTTAAAATGATGTTTTCTTATTTAGATGGATGATGCTTGGAAGTATAATGGAGATGTTGAAGACATTAAGAGAACTCCAAACAATGTGGTCAGCACCCCTGCACCAAGCCCGGACGCAAGCCAACTGGCTTCAAGCTTATCTAGCCAGAAAGAGGTAGCAGCAACAGAAGAAGATGTGACAAGGCTGCCCTCTCCTACATCCCCCTTCTCATCTCTTTCCCAAGACCAGGCTGCCACTTCTAAAGCCACATTGTCTTCCACATCTGGTCTTGATTTAATGTCTGAATCTGGAGAAGGGGAAATCTCCCCACAAAGAGAAGTCTCAAGATCCCAGGTGAGTTTGGAAAAGTTCTTTATCATCTGTGGCTCAGACACTTACACATTTAAATCTGGAAACCATGTCTCAAATGTCAAACCTCTAGGTGTTAATCTGGGCTGAAAATGTGCAAAATGATATTCTGGTTTACTTTGAACAGATCTTGGAGGAAGTAGGTCTCTTTCCACTCTGAGTGCATAGATCCAGATAACACTTGTGATATGAGTGTATGGAGACTTTGTGCACCAGTCTCCTTGGGATTTGGCTGGTGTTTTCTCTATATTCCATGTTTCAGTAGTGGTTGCCTTATACTGCTAGTGCTATAGTCCCAGGTTTCAGGTACAGCAGTCACTTTAAAGGTTTTACATGCAGATCTAGTGTATATTTGGGTGACAGAAGCCCTTTCCCAGGGAACTCAACTGGCCGCAAGGAAAAACATGATAGGTGCTGGAGTCTAGGGACATGGCATTTCTTTTTCGATAATTTTAACCTTCTAGTGACTTTTAATACTATTTTGTACTTTAGAACGTCTATAATTTTCGATGGTCCCTTGTCTCTAAATGGGACTATTGAGGCTTGGTTATAATATGACAATTGTATTCCACAACATTTGGAGTCCAAACAAAATATACCATCAGATGAAGAATGACTGGGGGCATGTGTAGTTTTTCCTACTTAAATTTCTAATAGATGACTTCTAAGAGAATGATTAGGTAATAAATGTTTTTTGTAGCCTACCTGTAAAACATACTGAAAGCATTTGGGGAACAGAAAGTGTCTCTCTCTTAGAAAGATTCTTTCTAAGCATTTTGATAGTTGTATGAACCCCTTAGCATGGAAGAGCTTTTGTGGTCCTTTGGCTTGGTTTAGTATTCCCTGTTGCCCTGCAAAACATTAAGTGTGTATTATATACATTAAGTATGTGTATATATATGACTTGTCCTAAGTTATATTAGTATTAGAGTGTGTGTGTGTATATATATTTATATATATGACTTGTCCTAAGTTATATTAATAAAATATGTGAAATAATTTGGCATTGCATATTTATTATTATTGAGTTTTTATTTGTATGGGAAAACTTAAAAAATTTAAACTTTCTTTTCTGGTTGTAAGGTACTATGTGCTTGAGAAAATTTGGAAATGCAGGAAAGTATAAATAATTTAAATTGCTGATAATTCCATCATTTAGAGATAATCACTGTTAACATCTAGGTATATTTCTTTTGTTTTTTTTTCCCATGCATATTTACATATATCTAAAAACAGTTTCTTCAGCTTGCTGAAATAATTAGTTGTAAATTATCATTACATTTTTAAGGAATTGGAAATATATAATTAACATGCTAAGTCTCAGTGGAGAAGAACAATAGCCTGTGTTATACTTGGGCAACATAAGGTACCAGTAGATGAATAATAAAAGCAGAAGCGAAGTGCCTTTTGTTTCACAGATTTGCATGTTTGCCTTTACCTTTTTCAAATAGCAAATTCAACAAAGCAGCCTGAATCATGTGCTGCACGCTGGGTGTTGGTACCTCCCTCAGGGTGGCAGCTGACTAACTGCAACTGTGGATTAAGGAAAAGAGGCTAAGTGTGGTGCGTGGTTGTGTCTCAGGTTATCGCAACTCAGAGGAGCTTCAATTAATGTGGCACTGTTTCAGATTTCCTCATTAATGGATTTATACTTCTTTGTTCCCAAACTTGAGAGGGTATTCCACCAAGAAAAATTAGGCTTGATTTGACAAGTGAAGCCATTGGAATTCTTTAATGTGGATATAATTCATGTGGTGACTTACGTATCTCTGATGCTTGGTGTGTCCTTTTCTGTGCCACTAGGGCAGTAGCTTCTATAGCATCCCCTTGCCTTTGTCTCAGAAGGAGCTTACTGACTTGAGAGAAGGATGTGAATGTGTGTGACAGCTGCTGAGCAATATGTAAAGGGCCTGTGCAACACTCCCTGAAACTCTATTCAGATGTTATAACTCTAGGTGTTCAGAGGACAGCAAAATCAAGAGTAGCATGTGGCTGATCATCTAAATGTTTCGGTAGCTTTGTGAAAGAATGTTCTTCAGGTCATTTTTCTCTTTCATACCTTGGACTTTTGCTGGCACTGTCCTTTCATCTCTTCCTCCAGACTCCCCCTTGATGTTATTCTTTTCTTTTTCTTTCTTTTTTTAAAAATTAATTAATTAATTGATTTTTTTAGATAGGGTCTTGCTCTGTTGCCCAGGCTGTAGTGCAGTGGCATGATCATGGCTCATTGCAGCCTCAACCTCCTGGACTGAAGCAATCCTCCCACCTTAGCCTCTTGAGTAGCTGGGACTGCAAGCACATGCCACCACGCCTGGCTAATTTTCGTATTTTTTTGTAGAGACGGGCTTTTGCCACATTACCCATACTGCTCTCAAACTCCTGGGCTCAAACGATCCATCCATCTTGGCCTCCAAAAGTGCTGGGATTACAGGTGTGAGCCACCACACCCAGCTGATGTTACTCTTTTCTATCCTGGCTTCCACTATGCTAATTCAGGCCCTTTTCCTATCAGTGCAAATAGTCACAGGTGTTAGTGCATGCTACACAAGACTGGCATCAGATTAACTTGCCTGATGCCAGGTTGGACTCAATAATTTCTCTGCTCTAAAGCCTCTAGTGGCACTGTGTGGTTTGCTGAATGGAGTTCGTGGCGCTCAGGGAAGCAGTGATATCTCTCACTCCCTTTGTAGCGCAGTCACAGCTGAAGTTAGTGTGCTTACTATGTGCCAACCAGGCTTCTCAGGGCAGTATCTTAGTTAATCCTCACAGCAGCCCTGTGAGGTAATCAACAATCCGAATGTGGACTATCATGATTATACCTGTTTTAGAAACATAAAAATTGAGGCATGGCATGGGCATGTTACTTGTCCAAGGCCGTGCAGGGTACCAAGTGGAGTCAGGATTTGAACCCAGGCAGTCTGACTCAAGATTTAGTATCATGTTATGCTATCATGCTATGTCCTGGGAAAGAGACACGATTCACCTGCATACCACTGCTTGCTTTTTCTTGGACACATCACGTACTTTTTGGAGCACATCACTGCTCCCCCATTTGAAGATGCTTATTTCCCACATCTCTGCCTTTTGAGGTCCAATTATTTCTCAAAAGCCCAGGAGGACCCCTTCGTTCATGAATCATGATGTCACCCCTCCCCCATTGGAATCAAACTTCTTACCCTTGAAAAGTTTCACTCACTGAACTCTTCCTTGTCCCATAGTGTTACGTGTTCCTCTTTCACTGATATTCTTTGTACATTCTTACACATAATTGACACTTAAGTTTTACGGACTTGAACTGCATTCAAGGCCTTAATTACTAGGCTGAAGTATGAACTTGATCTGGCAGGTAATTTAAAGTCCTTATTGGTGCTTTAGTGTGTGGGAATTTTAAGATTAAGGGCTGTTTTAGGAATGTAAGCACTATGGTGTTCCCTAGAGTTATTTTACGAAAGCTAAGTCTGGAAGCAGAGACTGGTTAGGAGCCTATCACAGCATTGCACTAATAAGGTGGTGTGTGCCATAAAGTAGAACAATCATAATGAAGGGAAGAACTTAATATGGTCTTATTTAAAATCTGCCGATAGGAATTTCCTTTTCATCCTCATAGCTGAGCTGGGGGTTTTGTCTCTTGCTATTCTTTTTGCACCCTTTCTTTTGTGGTTTTGCTTTTTTCTCTACCTTTCTGGACAATCTAGGCTGCCAAGCTCATTCTAGAGGTGACCCAAGGCAAGGAAGAGGGAGTGTGACTCCTGGAGTCCTTCATCCCCCCTCCGTCTGCCATGCAGATGTGGTTTTCATGATTTTCCCCAAAATTGGTCTTGCCTACAGGTTTCTGTTTTTTCTGCCCTTTCAGAGCTCTATGTTTTTAAACCCTCTACAAATCCACTTTCCAGAACCTCTGCTCCAGATTTTTTAAAGCAGTAACCCCCAAACGGGATGACACGTGTGGAAGGAAGGAAGGAAGCTTTCTGCATGTCCATTTCCTGATCTCATCCCCATGATTACTGCCCCTTGGGATATAGTAGTCAGAGCTTCCCTTATCATAGCTTCATACTGTGCATTTTGCTTGCTTCTCACCTTCACTAGGACCTGCTCTCTGTAAGGGTGGAACACAATCCTACATTTCTCACTGTCAGCGCAGTGTCTGCATCTGTACATGTTCACTGAATGCTGACCAAATTTTCTTGACTTTAGAGCTAAGTATGTGAGAATTAAATGGGATTTTCTTTAATTGATCCAGAAACTGCTTAGCCGGCACTTGTATTATGTTTAACATTTGCTTCCATTGGAAAAAGAAGGCAATTACTGGGCATCAGTCATGTGTGCCTTGACACCTTTTAAATGTTTCATTTAATTATCTCAATAACTCTGCAAAGTAGGTGTATTATCCCCGTTTTTACCAATGAAGTACTTGAGATTTGAAAGTTATGTAACTTGCCCCAGGCTGGTGAAATGCCTGCGCCACAACTGCAATTTATCTGATGTTAAAGTTTTTTGAAATATGACAGGCTCACGTTTGAGGACTGCCTTATGTATAGTTAAGAGACCACATGTTGACTTATTTGGACTTTGCTGTGTCTTTAGAATTTTAGAGCCACTGGGGACAGAAATGTCTTTTGGTCCATAAAGATAAAATCATCCTTGAAACCATTTTGAGGAAAGGTGGTATTATATGTTTATTGAAACTTACCAGAACTGAAATGTAGAGTTTGAAATCTTCCAAGTAGGGCAGTAAGGAGCTACCAGCAATTTAAAAATGGAGTGTGATATAATAGCATGTTCTATAACTAAAGTTCTGGCAACTGTGTGGACAATGAACAAAATAAGGGCTGGAGGCAAGAGAGTAACTTAGGAGGGGTAACCACAGGAGTTTAGGGGAGATCATGGCCTGAACCAAGATGATAACCCAAGGGAGGGTGGCAAAGATGGGGTGATTCAAGATGGATTATGGACTTGATAGAACTTTGTAAAATGCAAGTGTGTAGGGTGGAGAGTAGGGGTACAGGGATTGTTGTGTGGCATTCGAGTGGGGAACAGTTAGGGGAAAGAAGGAGAAAGAGGCCTCGAAGGAATCCAGTGTTTCTAACGTGGGCACCTGATGAACTATTGATGCAATTAACCAAAATATGAAAAACAAGAGGTGGAAGAACAGGTTTGGGCGGAAGATAATGAATTCAGTTTTCGAATTGTTGGACTTAGGCATCGGAGACATGGCAATGAATGAGGTTGCTCACAAAAGCATGTAGTCAGAGAGGCTGGAGACTAAGGAACAAACAACACAATGAAAAGAGAAGAGAAAAAAGAGGAACATGCTAATGAAACTGAGAAGTGGCAAGAGACATGGGAAAAAAGGCTGGAGAAAGTGAGATAATAGGTGACTTTAGAAGATTGTTTCCCAGAAAGCAAGAATAGTGGGCAGTGCCTGGAGGGATGAAGACTCAAGATGTATTTGGTAGGTAGAAGATAATCTTGGAATGGGATGAGGACAGTGGTGGGTGTATTATAGAAACACTACCTGCCACAGTGGGATGAAGGAAGGAGAGATGGATCAGGATTTAGAGAGAAAGACCAAGATTTGAGGGCTACTCACTTCATTTTCTCATTCCAGTAAGACCCAGAAAGAAAGACACTAAAGAACTATATGTACACAAATTCAAAGATTATAGATTTCCTCTGATATTCCTGATTTTACAGTCTAGATTTACTTTTAGGGTTAACTTTAACAACTAAGTAGGCTTTCCTTAACACATTTGTCTAATAGAAAAAATTCGAGGAGTGTAGCTTTTCGATTTCGTGTTTAATATTGGCCCTGTTTTTTTTTTTAAATTCTATCTATGTTGACATGAAAATCTTAATTCAACAGATTTAGCAGAAATAAGTGTTACTGTTGGGACTCCAAACCTCCTCATGTTTTTGCTTAAAAATGTAGAGTCTTGTACTTCTGTTTCATCAGTCTGACAGTTGTTGGGGCAATCTGAACTTTCAGTGGATGTGTCTGCTCAAGTTATACCTAATTTGAGGGAAATTTTTTATCTTATACGCTGAGATGATGATAGACAACTGCCTTGTCTTTTTCTGGCATGAACAACTGAAACCACTTGGATAGTTCATTATCAGTCTTCAGGAATCTAGGTTTCCCCCAACAATTTATATTCCTGTTCCATCCAGTTCAAAGATGATTCTGTCATTATTATCTTCTGAAGCTTGGATTCTTTGTAGGATACTCACTTGGCATATGTCTTGCAGAGAAAAATAAGGAAGTTGAAATCCTTCCTGAAATCATTGATGAACAATTTATACTTGAATGTAATTATAGATATGTTCACTTGCAAGAAGTTTCAGGAATAATTTACTGTAAGAACCTGGGATTGGACAGAGATGCCTCAAGACTGCCATAAGGGGAAGGCCCCACAAGTGGGGCTCTGGAACTCTTACTTTGAAACCACAACCACCCACTTTAATCCTTCTGTGTAGTGGTTTGGAAAGAGGTGGTCTGCATAAGACTTTGATTTGAAACTAGGCTACTTAAAACCAAAATTAAAAATCAGTATTTTTATGAAAGAGAAGGCTTTACCAGGCCCAGTGACATGCCTGTGGTCACCTGGTTAATGACAGATATACACCTGTAATTGCCCATGTGGTCCTCTCCTCTTTGCCTGTGTTCTGTCCCAAGGACTAACACAACACTCTGCCTGGCTGTAGCCACAGGGACACTGTCCTTCTGTTAAGCCTTTCAAAGAGGAGGAGGTTATCTGCCCTTTTATTAATATTTAAGATGTTTAAATAGTGATTTCTTTATTTCTGAGGTAAGTACAGTCCTTCATGAGATAGTATGTCCAATCTAATAGAACAGTGAGACATTTCCCTCTAGGGCTTAAGCTCATTCTCTTTGATCCTATATTTGGTAGAAAAGGATAATGTTCACTTGCCATCTCCCACAAAATATGCTTTATGTAGTTTGAGAGTATTTATTAAGACTCCATCCTGTCTTTTATTCTTCAAGCTATAAAACACAATGTTTTGAATATGTAACCCATGATTTGTCTGTTTGTCTCTCTTCCTTATATAGCAAATAGATTCTGCACTTTAATTGGCTCTAAGTCAGATTTTTTTTTTTTGTAAGAGTGGTGAAGATGACCACTTATTTTCACTGAGTCATCTCTAACTTAAGTGTATGGTGGTTTTGGCTAAGGAGTAGAACCTACCAGTAGTTTTTGCTATTCTTAGCAGAGTTTTATTATATTCTTCAGATTGGCATTCATCAGGTGATTATTAACGAGTGTTATGACTACATCTGCATTTCCACATTTAAACTGCTTTACAAAGGGCTTTCTGCTGAAAGCTAAAAATCCCATACCCACTGAGATATAAACAATTATTTTTTGAGAGCGAGAATCATCCCTAATTTACCTTTGTTTCCCAAAGTGCTAAGTATTGTATTATTTTATACAGAGTAAACAATAAATGTATGTCAAACAATTGAATGAGTGAAAGTCATAATACTTCTGCCTGTCCATATAGAGTAGTAAATTCTTGATCCTTTATTTAGTGCCTTCCTTCAAATTCTTGTGTACTCAGTCCATTTAATGTTGCTATAACAGAATACCTGAAACTGAATAATTTATAAAGAAAAGAGGAGGTTTATTTGGCTCATGGTTCTGGTGGCTGGAAAGTCCAAGAGCATGGCACCAACATCTGCTTGGCTTCAGGTGAGCACCATGTGCTGTGTCACAACATGGTGGAAAAGCAGATAGGCAAATGTTGTGTGCAGAGACCCAAAACAAGGCAACCTCACTTTATAACAACCTGCTCTTGTGGTAACTAATTCAGTCCTGCTAGAGTGAGAACTTACTCCCATGAGACTGCATTAATCCCTTCATGAGGGCAGATCCTCATGACCCAAACACCTGTTAAAGGTAACACTTCCCAGCACTACCACATTGGCAATTAAATTTTAACATGAGTTTTGGTGGCGACAAATCACATCCACACCATAGCAAGTACTATCCTAGTTTTTCTCAGAATATTGCTACTTGTTTTAAACCTGTTTTATGGGTAGAAAAACTTAGGCAGAAAGCTTTATGAAGTGCCCAATTAGTTCCTGGGTTAGGTTTAACTGCCAAGTTAAAATGGAGATTTGGTAGGTCTTTTTCTGGAAAGTAAAACAGGTTTAGGAAGAATTTTAACAGGTAAGTCTAAGTTTTTTGTGATTAGGAAACAGAGCTGAAACACTGGTCTCATAAATTCATATTAAAATCTATCTGTTGCTTACTCAAAACAAAATATGTAAATTACAAAAGAAATTAAGGTTTGCACAGACGTAGTATACTGTAAAACTCGAAACATTTGGTTTAGAAAATAACTTAAGTTCCATGAAATTTGGAATTTGTTGTGTAGTACAGTGATAGCTATGAGAATAATTATACCTTTTGTCCAAGAGGCTATTGTTTTGGGGCTTAT